>NC_000020.11:2793607-2945122 GCF_000001405.40 Homo sapiens
AACTTCTAGAGCCACTACTTCTATTGCATCCTTGACTGCCCCAGTCCTGTTGATGTGCAGTGCTGTATTTCACGTGTGCAGCTCCCCTGCACTCTCACGGCACCTGGCCTCCACCCTAGCATGTCTCACAATGTACCGAACTGTCCTTTCCCTTGACTAGGAGCCCCAGGAGTTTGAGTGCAGGCACGGCTGATCCTGATTCCTTGCACACCTGGCAATGAGCAGGCGCTTACAGAATGCCTGGCAGCAGTGTAATGGTACCTGTAGCAGAAGCTGATCAGAAGAAATGAGTTGCTCTGCCAGGCCCTTGGTTCAAGAAGAGCCCAGGTGGGATCCTCTTTTCACACAATGTGTCCAGAAGCCAACTGATGAGAGTGTGCAAGTGTGCAGAATAGGAACTGAGGGCTGGGCCGAGGCCCGCCCCCGGGGGGAGGACCTGGGGCACAGAGACAACACGAAGATGAGCTAAGGTGCCCGGTAGCTTTAATGAGCACCTTTTCCTCACTTTGTCCCTCCCTCTCTACTCTTCCCCTTCCCGTCTTGACAGGTCCAGCCTGCCCTAGGGCTCTTAAACCGCAGGTATCAATCCTTCTGTCCCCTTAGCCGCTCCAGGCGCCTGCGAAGGTCCGGGGGCACCTTGGCCCCAGCTGCCAGCAGCTCGCGCAGCCTCTGTTTGGGAGTCTTGGTGAGCACGAAATTGCAGGGGAAGGGGCCCTCTTCAAAGGTGACCCGACAGTTCCGTGTCACTGAATGGTAGCCCTCGGCACTGGCAGTCACCATGTAGTCCCCTGGGGTCAGCAGACGCCAATAATCCCCGCCCCACGCTGAGGAGAGTGAAGGGCACGATCAGGACCCAATTAATGATCTTCTGCTTCTTCCCGAGCCTCCAGCCCTCCAGCCCCTTCCCTTGCCCTCCCGGTCAAACACACCCGTGGTCACGTCATGGTTAATCCCATCCACGGCAATGACAGCGTCAGCAATCCCAAGCTCCGTGTCCTTGTCCCTCACCACTCCTGCAATGCCCATGCGCACCTGTGTGGGAAGAGGTTATCAGAGCCCTTCCCCTTCGGCAGGATAATGTGCTGTTTAGCTAACTTGCTGGCTCTGTTGCCCTGCAAACCTGAGCAAAGTGGTAGGTCTACTGTGTTCCTAGGTGACACTACTTCTGGAAGAAAAAAAAAAAAGAAATCCTGATTGACAAATCACATCTGGACTAAGAAAATGATAAATACCTGGTAGGAAGGCTTATCTATCCTTGGGCTTTCCCAGGTTATTGGGCTTGTCTTTGGTAGACCCTTTGGAAGCTCTGCTTATGGAGCTATTACAAGGGTTATGAGCTCCATGGAACATGAAGCTTCTATGCCAGGACAGCTCCTGCACCTGCCTCACGTGAGTCTCTCCTGAGGATAGCTCTGGGGCAGCGCCACGGACCACCACCTAGACTGCAATGGAGGCTCCTCCCACCGGCTCTAACACGATGCCACGCTGCCAGCAAACTGCACTTCCTGTCCTGTGTGCTTCCAAGACAATCTGATACCAAGCATGGCCCATGGCATCTTGTGAGTCTGAATGCTCAGCTGGACCTTAGAAGAACCCCTGGTAGGAGCTGTAGCCTAAATGGACAGCAGGAGTGATTCAGGCAGGCTGGGGGCCGGGACGCAGATCCGACCTGCTCCAGGTAGGTGAGGAGGGCGTCTTTGTTGTTCTCCCACTCCTGGGGCAATTCATTCTCGTGAGGGAACTTGTCACAGGACAGCTCCACAGTGACCTCAAAGCAGTTGGTGTGTAGGTAGCTGAAGTCATTCATGCCTAAGGGGACCACAGACACTGCTGCCTAAGCAGGCGGGATGCGGTCCCATCCTCCCGCTACCCTCCCTTCTCTGAGGGACACTTCAGAGTGGGAACAGACGCCAGCACTGTACGCAACCGCAGGCTGTCTTATCAGGGCGGGGGTTACGGGGCCAGGGCTAACTCCACCCTCAGGCACATACTCCCGGGGACCGTGTGCCAGTCAGCCCCGTTGATGATGTTGCCGTGCACGGAGAAGTCCTGGCTGTGGCAGGGTCGGCGGCTGGTGTCCTGCATGGCCAGATTACTGCCAGCATAGACAGTGCTGAGCCAGCGAAACACAGCATCATCTGGTGTGGGCGTGAGCTCGCGGGCAGCCCACGGGGTGCGAGTCATGTCGAATGGGTAGGACACCACGAGCTCACCCCCGTGGAGGTTGGCACTTAGCACAAAGGGGATCCGCTTCATCCACTTGATTACTGCCCGCGTTTCAGGAGCCACCTGGATGGGGCAGGTCAGGAGGGGCAGGAGACAGAGACAAGGTCCGCCCCCCACAGACCTCCACTGCCGCCCTCAAAATACTCACGGTGGCATTGGGCAGGGTGTAGTAAGTGGGCAATGGCAGGTGATGGTTGGGGACGATGTGGGGCACCTTCCCATCGTCCTGTGCTTCCCACAGTGGTGTGTTGAGGTCAGCAAAATTATGGTTAAGATCGATGCTCTGGTTGTTCCAGCGGCCCTCGGCCCAGCCCACCAGCTCTGAACCCTGCCGGGCAAGAGGCTTGTTCAAGTCGAGCAGGTCCAGCCACCAGGGCAGAAGGACAGAGTGGCCCTCATGCTGGGTGGCCTACCCGGTGGTAGGCGATCTCATAGCCATCAGGGTTCATGGAGGGCAGCAGGTGAATGCGCATCTCAGAGAGCAGCCGGGTCACCCGTGGGTTCCCTCGCAGGAACTCATGGCACAGGAACTGCATCAGGAGCAGAAGCAACTCCCGCCCCAGGGCCTCGTTCCCATGCATGCCAGCCACGTAGCGCACCTCAGGCTCCCCTGGGGACACATGGGGGCTTGCAGCGGGTTCATGCCTGGGGCCCTGCCCTGTGCCTACCTCTCCCCACTCCCCATGCCAGTACCCAGCTCATGCTCCCCAGGCTTGTCCGACATTTCCATCACATACAGCTTCAGGCCCTGGTAGCTCTTCCCAATGCTGTAGATGCGGGTGATGTTGGGGCATTGCTCTTGTACCTGCTTCATCAGCTGGTGGGCAGAGTGTAGCGTGGCATGAGGCATGGGAGGGGTACACCCAGGGGCAGATCACATGTGCCATGGAAAGACTTAAAAAGTCAGCGATGGCCCACACAGAGGGGGCATCCCATCATGGTACAGGAGGGGAGCGGCAGCAGAGCCGGGAGGAAGGGGTAGGACTGGGGGGGCGCCATAATAAGGGAAAGTGGGATGGAGCTTAGGGGTCCACAGGAGAGAAGGCTGAGACATCAGGAGGCAGCAGGGGCATACAAGCGCAGTCACAGCAGGTTGTGCCCCGGTGGGAAGGTGGGAAGGGGACCTGAGATGGGTGGGCCCTCCTTCCCAGGTCATAGGGGTTATATCTGACCTTCCTCATGGCCTTGTAATTGTGATGCTGAAAGTCTAGAGGGTCAGAGGATCCCGACGCAGGGGCCTCAAGGAATAGGTCATTGGGGTCTGGTGGAGGTTGAGTTTATGGTAAAGGGTGTGTCCACAGTGAAGGATGCACCCTGCATCCAAGCCCTGCCCAACCAACCCTGGCCTGACTGCCCACCTGAGACTGGGCAGGCCAGGATCTCTGCCCGGAGGCAAGGCGCGCCTCCCTGGAGCCAGGTCTGGGGCAGCAGGCGAATGAAGCGGGCCACCTGGGGCTCCGGCAGGAGGTTCAGCACTGGAGTTTCTGGGTCTGAATTGGCAGGAAATACCTGGGGGCAGCAAGTTCTCTGTTGTGGCTGCTCAAACCCCAGAAGCCTGGCCCAGGACCCAGGGAAGGAGCTCAGGCCTCCAAGCTTACTGTCTCCCCACCCTAGTGGGCTCAGCTAGAGACTTGCACTGTGCATCAAACACAGACCCCGGCCCACAGCCCCTGCCAATGGGCAGCCCTAGGCAGCCTTGCTCTCTGGATTGGACACAGTTCATTAGACCAGTTTGGCCACATGACTCGGGGGAAGCCAATCCTAGAGCTGGCCAGGACTCCACATTGTAGCCTGCTGTAAAAAGAGGTCCATGAGATGCGGAAGTCAGAACCACGAGAAGGCAAGAAGTGATGTGGACCAGAGGCCCCGGGCCAGAAGGGGCACGCCAGGAGGAAGCTGTACCGTGAAGCAGCACCCACCCTGTGGTGGCATTATCTGGGGAGGATGTGGGCATGTCCCAAAGCAGCTGGCTCCCAATGGTGCCTGCCGTGTGCCACCCTCTTGACAACAAGCCACACCCCCCTGGGAAGCCTAAGCTGGCGTCTATTCCTTGTCCTCAGAGGAGCCTCAGCCTAGCCTGGACTGGGTGCCCAACTCCCAGCATGGAGGCCCCAGCCACAGTGGGACCACTCACTGCGTCCATCCCACTGCTGTGGTTCCTACTTCCCCACCAGGTCCGACTGTCATTGCTGAACTGGACCTTGTATGATGTGACCCAGTCATACCTGGCAGGAGAGGTGGAGAGAGATCATCGGTGCCCCCAGGACTCCCACCCCAGTCCTTCTGTGACCTCCTGACCTAGGGTTAGTCTGCCTCACCTCCAGACAGAGTTCCTGCCCTGTGTGATAACACCCGAGAAGCGGGTGGGGTGCCCAGCGTCCACCTGAAACCATGGATCGGCGTCCTGCTCCTCAGCACACCAGGCTCCATCATATAGATCGCCGTCCTCCAGGCCTGACTGCAGACACAGGACATGGTGGTCAGGCCCAGTTGGACAGAGTGGGGCAGGCCAGGACAGAGAGGAGGCAGGAGAGAAGCTCCCAGGGGCTGCCTTCCCTACCCTGAGACCATGGCTCCGAGCCAGGATTACTGACCTGAATGTTGAGCCGTCCTCGGTGTGGTCCAAGACCAAAGGACTGGCTGCTGGATGCCTCAAGCCGGCTATCTGAAACTCGCAGGGACTCCAGACCCAAAGGAGGACAGCCTGGGGCGGGGATAGAACAGTGAGACAGGACCAGAGGGAGGGTAGCCAGGGCAGGTGGGAAGCTGAGCCTAAGGTTGCTCCTGCGCTAGGCAAGCAAGGGGCGTGCCGGTGCCCATGAGGCCAAGAGCTGTGCTGGTAAAGTGCCCCAGGGGCTGCAAGTCTGGGCTGGGCCCCTGGAGAGGAAGTACCTGTTTCTTGTTTCTCAGCGGGGTCGAGGGTCCCTGCTGGAGTGGGGGTCACAAGGGGCCCGGCAGTCACCAGTGGGGTGGGGCGAGTTAGAGTTAGCTTCTTCCGCTTCTTCATAATGACCTTTTTCTTCTTGATGACTCGAATCCGGACATGCTGTTCTGAGGTCCCTTGGGGTCCGAGAGGCACAGCATGGGGGAAAGGAAGAATGGTGAAACCCCGGATGGAAAGGTCTGCCAGCCCAAGAAGACATGTGAGCCCACAGCAGGCCACACCACCAGGATCTAACAGCCTTCACAGGACATCAAAGGCCTGCAATCTGACCCCAACCTGCCTCTCCAGTCACTTCCTTGGCTCCTCCTTCTCCTCCCTGATGTAACTACATGCTTGGCCAGCCTCCCCTGTGAACCTCTAATCCAATGGAGAGCTGCACCCAGCCTCTAGAAACTGTTCGGTTGCTCCAAAGAGCTGAGTCTGGCACTTTACCTCCGGGCCTCTGCACTAGCTATCCCCTCCCCTGTAATGCTACCCCTCGCCTCTGATTTTTTCACCTAATTCCCATTCTTCCTTTGCATCTCAGCCCAGATGCCTTTCCAAGGAGGCTTTCTTAGCTCCAGACTCAGCATCATGCCCCAAAACCCCTGTGCCGCTTCCATTGTTGTGTCTGCTCTCTGGGCTCAGATGGCCTGTCCTGGAATCCATGTCTGCCTGGGTGTCGAGGCTTTCAGGGCTGGGCCTGCCCGCCGGCCCTTCAGCACAAGGCTCTGCCCAGGCAGGTGCTGGGGGTACCCATCGAAGCTCCACAGCTGCCTCCAGAACAGGCTGCCCATTTCCGCATCTGGTGCCCCTGTGCCTTTGCCCGCCGCTTCCTTCTTGGCAGCCCTCTCTCTCTCTCTCTCTCCAGACTCCCCTGACTCGGGGACATCACCCTTCAAGACCCTCCTCCACTTGCCTCCTCTAGAAGCCCCTGAGTGCCCTCCGCTTGCGCTCCTCCTCTCCTATTCCACATCTGGAAAGCTGGGAGGTCGGGCTGCCTTCCTCTCCCGCTCTGCCCCATCCTCCCGGCAGCCTCAGCGAGGGGCTCTCCCTTCTTTCCTTTTGTTCTTTCTCTCCAGCCCTCGCCTTCAAACTCTCTCCTACGCAGTCTTGCTCTGCACCTTGAGAGCTTCTGCCCCTCTGTCTCCCCTCCTGCCAGTTCTGGCCTGTTTTGTCTTTGGTGAAAAGGGAAGGTTTGGGGCTTGGAAGAGGCAGCATCCCACTGGCGCCTGTCCTGGGACTGCTGACTAGGTCTGGCAGGGAACTGGGGCTGCCGAGTCAGCAGCCATTGCTCCCAGCAGGGAGTTGAGGGAGTGTGAGTGTGTATATGTGTGTGTGCACTGTGAGTGTGAGTGTGCGCGCGCGTGCACTGTGTGTGCGCGCACGCGCGTGTGAGTGTGCGTGTGTGTGCATGCGTGTGAATGCGCGCGCGTGTGAGTGCAAGTGTGCGCGTGTGTGAATGTGTGTGAGTGCGCGCGCGTGTGTGCGCGTGAGTGCGAGTGTGCGTGCGGGGTGAGTGTGCATGACTGTGAGTGTGCGTGGGTGTGCGTGTGCCCGCGTGTTAGGGAGGGATCGCCCCACGGGGCAGGAGAGCCGGGCAGTCGGCTTGCGGGGGAGCGGACCGTCGGTCGGGGAACTCACCGTTAGCTGTCTCCGCCGGCGGCTGTGCCGGGCTGCTATGCAGGGCCGGGGTCGAGCCTGGGACCTTGGTGGTCCCGGGCTGCGCGAGGCCCAGCACCGAGTTCCTGGGCGCCCCCAGAGCCGGGCCGACGGCCGGCGCGAAGGCGGCCAGGGCGAGCAGGAGCCCCCACATGGCGGGGATTGAGTGCCAGGGGCGCGCGGGCTACGGCGGGTGGCGGGTCGGTCTCTTCCTGCCGAGTGCGCCGAGCCCCCCGCCCCTTCCTGCCCCCCGCCCCTCCGCAGCCTCCTGCCCGCCCACAGCCCGCTGCCCGCCTCGGACCTCGGAGAGGAGGAGAGGGCCGGGAGGAGCGAGCGGGGCTGACCTCCAAGGGGCCGCCCCAAGTCTCAGGACCGCCGACTCTGCCCTTCCTCTCCGCCGTCTGGGGCCAACCCGCCTCGTTGGCGCGCTGCGCCTTTATAGTCTGCAAAGCCACACTGAAGAGACCAGAGATCACCTGGTGGCCATCAAGTCGACCAACAGGAGGCAAAGCCCCTTATCTGAGCAATTCAGAATGACACTTCCCTATTGTCTAAAGCCACATCTGGTACCAAGCTTCCGTCCCAAGAATTTATAAGTAACTAGAATTTCTGTACGTTTCCGGAATGAGTGCACGTTAAGACCCATTGTGCAAACTTTGCTGACATCAAGGCACCAAAATATCGACAAATGTAACCATTTACCATGACCTAAGTGACTAATGTGGTCCAAATTACCCTGCAGTTCCCCGCAGGGAGCTCAGTCCTCTCTTGCTGAAGCGCCTACTGCGCTCTGCTGCCTCGTCCTTTCCGTCTAATAAAACTTTCCTTTTCAGACCTACACGGTTGTTGATAAGTTCTTTTACCACCCGGGAGCCAACCACTTCCCGGTTCCGGAGCTCTGACACCTCGCCTGGCATCTTGGTGGCCCATACGGGGACTTCACTGGGATTTCCCTCTTCCTTTTTCTCTCTGCTTCCTTCCACGGTCTGGTTCTTTACTCTTTGGGGAACTGCCGGTCCCGGTGGAGGCAGCTCTTCTGTGGGATCCTGAAGCCCTAGAGAAGGGATACCTGGCTGTCCTTGCCCTTAGGGGTGAGGGACTGGCCAGGGCTCTTTTCTGTTTTCGGACTGCCAGTGAACCAGCTTGAGTTCTCGTTGGCAACTGACAGTTTCTGGCCAAGCGCCATCCCCCGGTATTACCCCAAGGCCAAGACAAAAGAGCTATTGCCTGTCAGAGTGGCAGGGCACTTTCATTTTAACACTCCATAAGCCTTGTCCTGGAAGCGGTGGATCTCAATTCTACACAGGGATGCCTCAGGGATCTTGTAGTTCCTTGTCTAAACCCAACTTCGGTTCAATTAATTCAGTTCCATCCAACTCGCCCTTGGATTGCCTCCTTAAAAATGGTCCCATTGGTCTCATTTTGACCCACAAACTCTTAAAAATAAGCATATAAGGCTGAGCACAATGGCTTATGCCTGTAACCCCAGCACTTTGGGAGGCCAAGGCAGGCAGATCACCTGAGGTCCGGAGTTAAAGACCGGGAGTCTACTAAAAATGCAAAACTTGGCCGGGCACAGTGACTCACACCTGTAATCCTAGCACTTTGGGAGGCCGAGGCGAGTGGATCACCTGAGGTCAGGAGTTCGAGATCAGCCTGGCCAACATGGCGAAACCCTGTCTCTACTAAAAATACAAAAAAAAAAAAAAAATCAGCCAGGGGGCTAATTATATGTGGCGGGCACATATAATCCCAGCTACTAGGGAGGCTGAGGCAGGAGAATCACTTGTACCCCGGGGGCGGAGGTTGCAGTGGGCCAAGATGGCGCCACAGCACTCCAGCCTGGGCGACACAGCAAGACTCTGTCTCAAAAAATACAAATAAAAAATAAATAAGAGTTTAAAAAGCATATCCTTTTTTCTAATATTGCTTGGGTTCAATACAAGCTCCCTAATCAATCAATTTGGCCAATTAATGAAACTTGGGATTGCAATGCTACTTTACAACTTAACTGATTTTTTGCCGGAACCTTGGAAAGGATTCAGAAGTCCCATATGTTCAGGTCTTTTTTGCTTTATCCCCAAATCCAAACCCAAAATTACATACAAATTGTCATGTATGCTTCCAAGGAACGTCCTCCCTTCCCGGTTCTGATGTCTTAGATGATCCTTCCTTTTGCCTATTACATCCTCCTCAACCTGCTCACTCTTCACCTACACCCTCTCCATCTGCTCCATTCCCTAGTCAATCTCCCACCCACATACCCAAATACTTTCTCCCCTTCACATACTCTCAGGGGAGTCACATATGCTACTAGTACAGAGTCCTCAGAAAAATCCCCAAAATATTTTGCCTCTCCCTAAGGTGGCTAATGAAGATTTGGGAACAAGCCAAGTTCATGTCCCTTTTCTGATCATGTCTGATCTTTTGCAAATTCAATCCAAGTTGGGTTCATTTAGTCAGGATCCCTCTAAGTTCATTCAAGAATTTCAGACTTTAACTGTTGCCTTTGATTTAACCTGGCAAGATGTATTTGTGGTATTAACTACCTGCTGTTCCCACACACAAAAAATCACACGTGTGATCTTCAGCATGGGCAGATGAAGCTCATGCTCCCAGTCCTAATAACAGAGCTGGGCAGAAGCTGTCCCCAACATAGAACCTATTGGCAATACCAGGCCACCAATTCTGGCCCAAACAGAGGTAAGGGCAGACAGGATCATATGGTAACTTCTCTGTTGGAGGGAATGAAAAATATATAATAAAACCTGTTAATTTTTCTAAATTATAAGAAATAATAGCTGGGCGCGGTGGCTCACACCTGTAATCCCAGCACTTTGGGAGGCTGAGGCGAGCGGGTCACCTGAGGTTTGAGACCAGCCTAGCCAACACGGAGAAACCCCATCTCTACTAAAAATACAAAATGAGCTGGGCATGGTGGTGCATGCCTGTAATCCCAGTTACTCCAGAGGCTGAGGCAGGAGAATCGTTTGAACCTTGGAGGCGGAAGTTGTGGTGAGCTGAGATTGCGCCACTGCACTCCAGCCTGGGCAACAAGAGCGAAATTCCATCTCAAATAAAATAAAATAAAAAGAAATAATAATTTTGTATGTATGAAACTATCTGAAAGCCCTGCCCTTTTCCAAGCTAGACTGGTGGAGGCCATGCATAAATACACAAATTGAGACCCCAGGGGCCAGGTGTGGTTGCTCACACCTGTAATCCTAGTACTTTGGGAGACCAAGGCGAGGCGGGCGGATCACCTGAGGTCAGGAGTTGGAGACCAGCCTGGCCAACATGGTGAGAACCTGTCTCTACTAAAAACACAAAAATCTGTGGGCATGGAGGTGCATGCCGGTAATTCCTGCCTTTTAATGCTTATATCTTCCAGCTTACAATGATTCCACCTACAGATGACTATGCAATCCCAATACCAGCCTGCAACAGCAACTTCTATTTTCATGGGGCCTCTTGATGGAATCTGGTCTTCCCTCCATGAACAAGTTTATCATGACCCTTCATTCCCTTCATGACAGAAAGCAAGAAAGGAATCCTTTCAATGCCCCTTTTCAGCAGGAAGTAGCCAGATAGACTGGACACCCCTCTTCACTGTGCCATTTTCCCTTTCTTGGGATCCTAACAGACAAGTAGACATGAGCATGGAGAAATACAAAGGGTCAAAGATTTGCCCAAAATATTTATCAGGGGGAAAATGAGGAGAGCAAGGATCACCTGGTGGCCATCAAGCAGACCATCAGGAGGCAAAGCACCTTATCTGAAGAACTCAGAATGGTACTTTCCTATTATCTAAAGCCACATCTGGTACCAGGCTTCTTTCCCTAGAATTTCTATACATCTCCGGAATGCACGCATGTTGGAACCCATTGTGCAACCTTTGCTGTCATCAAGGTGCCAAAATGTCTACAAATGTAATCATTTACTATGACCTACAAAACTAATGTGGTCAAAATTACCCTTCAGTTCCCTGCAAGTGAGCTCAGGCCTCTCTTGCCGAAGCATCCCGCTGCGCTCTGCTGTGGAGTTCTTTCCATCTAATAAAACTTTTCAAACCTATACTGTTGTTGATAAATTCTTTTACCACCCGGGAGCCAACCATTCGTGGCTGCGGCTCCCGGGGCTCTGACACCCAGCCTGGCACACAACATTTCACTTAGCCCCTCGAGGCCCTTAGCCTGCAGCAGACATCTACTTTGTACCATGCACTATGCCAGGAGTTTTACACGTGGCCGCTCAATCAAACTTCATTTTACAAACTGATAAACTGAGGCTCAGAGCGGCTAATGACTTGGGCGAGGTAGCAAAGCTGAGAACTTTGGGAAGGAAACTACAACCGGAGAGGAAAAGCTATCCAGAGCCAGAGGCCCCCTGGCAGGGCGGGTGGGACAGAAGGGGGAAAAGAGTGAAGGGAAAATGAGGCGGCGGGGGGCTAGGGGGCGACCCGGAGCCTGGGGAGAGGGCTGGTCCCGGAATCCTCCAGAAAGACAACCCAAGGGGCCCAAGAAGAGGCGGCACGGCGGCGCTTCCCACCACCACCATCACCAAGCCCGGCCCTGCCCCTCCTCTCCTTTCCCTTCCCTCCCCTACTCCTTCGCTCACTCACCCGGCTGCCACGTCCCGTCCCGGGGTTACATAACCCGGAGAGAGAAGCCTGAGCGATAGCCTGCGGGCTGGGGCTGCGGTGGAGGAGCCAAGGGTTGATGCACTGCCTGACCTGCCCTCCGGCTCCTCGCCCCCAGCCCGTATTCTCCTCGGGGAGCCGGCAGCCCTGGGTCTGCCCAGATCCGGAGATGCCCTTCCCGCCCTCCCTCCAAGACCCCCTTTGGATCCTGCATTCCTGGTCATCTCTCCAGAAGGAAGGAAACGCGTCCAGCGGTGTGCCTTTGGCCGGCGCTTGGCCTTTGCAAAGGGCTCTCCAGGGAGATGCTCCCATCCCCACGAGGAGCGATGCCCAGAAGTGGCCCGCAATCCTCTGGCGTAAGCGGGGCCCTGCGCAAATGTTTTTTGCAGGGGCACTATCTGTATAAATGATTTGAATCACCCAAAAGCAGCTTGTGGGCACCATTCTGGCAGCCCACGCTCACACGAACCCCAGAAAGAAATAGCGCGCCGCAGTCTGGGACTGGGGCCCACCGCCGGCAGGGACTACCCCATAGGCACTGGTCCTGGAGCTCCTCGAGGCATCTGGTCTGCCCCACGCGCGCAGGGTGAAGAGCTAGAGGACCCCCGAAAGGGAGTGACCCCACAGGGCCCACGTGCAACTGGGTCCCGCCTCGCAGCCCCCTGCCTCGACGGCGCTGCCGGGTCCCAGGCACTGGATGGGAGGACAGAGAGACATTTCAAGGGAAGCGCTGCACAGCCGGGACTCCCTGGACGCCAGGCAGGGGCAGATGGGCAGCGCCGATGCTTCCCGAAGGTGGGAGGCCGCAGTCTGAACAGGTCCCGAGGGCTGCTAAGCGTCCCGCCAAAGCCCAATCTGGCCACCTCCAGGTCTCTGGTCCCCACACCCATCCAGGTTTCTCGGGTGTTGGGAAGAAAGGAGGGGGCACAAGAAACAGGACATCTCAGCCTCCTGAAGCCCACACCCCCTCCAAGCCGTTCCCCACACAGTAGGCAAATTCTGTCAAGTTCCTCCAGGCTTAAGGCCCCAGTGGGTTCACCTGCAAGGTCTTCATGACCAAGTTCTTCCTGCCCACGCCTTTCCCATTCCATCTGCCTCCCTATCCCCTGGCTCCCATCCCCCCAGTCACTCCGGCATTCTAGCTGCTCCTCCCACGCAACAGCCCAACTAGCCTCCTGGCCTTTTAATTTGTGCATGGAATTTGCCTTCTCAGTCAGATTTCCTTTCAATATCACCTGCTCCCAAAGGCTTTCCCTGACTACCCTGACTAAAGCAAACTTTTTCACTTCACACACTCTATCCTCCCACCCGTTTAAATTATTGTCTTCAAGGCACTCAACACCGAGATGATCTTGCTTTACTTATGTGTTGGCTGTTCAGGTTCCCCCACCCCCAGCAGGAGGTAAGTACCCTGCCAGAAGAACTTTGTACCCAAATGTCCACAGCTGCACCTCAGAGCCTAGAACAGCACCTGGTCCCTCGTCAGCTCTCATAAAGTGTGTGTATAATATATTCAAGGTTAGAGTGGACAAACCAGGGCTGAAAGGACCTCCTCAACAGTGCCAGGATTTGCAGGAGAGGACATGGCAGGCCGTGAACTGAAAGACCAGTTCCCAAAGTGACTAGGGTGGAGCAGCTGGCACTCTCCCACCAATCTTTTAGGGGCCAGGGCTGCAGGATGCTCCACCTCTTTTTTCTTTTATTCTTTTTTTTTTTGAGACGAGTCTCACTCTGTCACCCAGGCTGGAATGCAGTGGCGGGATCTCAGCTGACTGCAAGCTCCACCTCCTGGGTTCACGCCATTCTCCTGCCTCAGCCTCCCAAGAAGCTGGGACTACAGGTGCACACCACCTCGCCTGGCTAATTTTTTGTGTTTTTAGTAGAGACGGGGTTTCACCGTGTTAGCCAGGATGGTCTCGATCTCCTGACCTCGTGATCCACCCACCTCGGCCTCCCAAAGTGCTGGGATAACAGGTGTGAGCCACCGTGTGTGGCCGGGATGCTCCATCTCTTATGTCTCCTGCACCCAGCTCCCATCCCCCTTCCCACCACTCTGCACTCCCTGCCCCTGTCCTCTATTGCAACCCTTAGGACCCCTTGGTTCCCTGCTGTGTCTCCTGAGCCCCGCAGCACTTTCTCACACTCTTCTCCACTCCCAGCCCTGCTGCCACCCCTGGCCCTTGCCACTGGCTACCTGGGGCTGCAAAGGTACAAGTAGCAGGATCTGGAGGTGATAGCTCCAGGGGCAGAGGGGCAGGTTTGCACCCAAGTACCTGTATAGCCAGATCTCATCTACCAGGAGCCAGGTAGAAGATCTTTCGTGGTCTCACTAGGTGCAATTGAGAAGGACTGGATAGTGGCACCCGCCTAAAAGGGATTTTAATGTAAGGGGTGGGCTAGGAATCTCCTGCCAACTCCCTGGTGTGGTTAGGTGGTTGGAGGGGGAGAGGATAGGTGACTCTGGTGACATACAGGCTTCGTTTCACATCCCACTTCTGACGTGTATTTTGTTTGGCTATCCTTGGGCAGTAGTTTCACCTCCCTGAGACTTAGTTTCCTCATCTGTAAAACAGGAACCATATCCTTCTCCCAGGTTTGCTGTGATGATAAAGTGAGATAATATAGGGTCTTAGGGGGCTCCTAGGTTGATCAGATGCATTAAAGGTGGGGAAAACAGTGTAACACAGCCCTCTTACTCCTACATACTTAGATGGAATAAAACAGTATCAAGGAAAAGAAAGGAAGCTCTGTGTCCAGCTGCACAAATAATGAAGTAGAATCTACTGCCTGCCTGTGCCTCTAATCTCCTGTGCCTGGATGCTAAAGCAGAACTCATTTCCTGCTAGGTGCTCTCCCTGTGATGTAGGTGAGCATTGTTGGAGCCTCACATGGGACCAGGATGCACAGGGGAGCATCTCCCCACGCACCCGTTCTCCCCTCATCACTCTCTACCCCAGCTTTCTCTCCTACATACATCAAGGTCTTTGAGAGCCTTGCTCCACAAAGTGTGGTTGAAGACCAGCAGCAGTAGCATCCCCTGGGAACTTGTTAGAAATGCAGAACAGGCCGGGTGCAGTGGCTCACGCCTGTAATCCCAGAACTTTGGGAGGCCGAGGCGGGCGGATCACCTGAGGTCAGGAGTTCAAGACCAAATACAAATACAAAACTTACCTGGCCAACACGGTGAAACCCCATCTCTACTACAAATACAAAACTTAGCTGGGTGTGGTGGTGCACGCCTGTAATCCCAGCTATTCAGGAGGCTGAGGCAGGAGAATCGCTTGAACCCAAGAAGCGGAGGTTGCAGTGAGCTGGGATGGTGTCATGCACTCCAGCCTAGGTGAAAGAGCTAGACTCTGTCAAAAAAAAAAAACCAAAAAAAAAACCAAAAAACAAAAAACAAACAAACAAAAAAAACACCTCTGCCCCAGACCTATTGAATCAGAATATGCATTTTTTTTTTTTTTTTTTTTTGACAGAGTCTCACTCTGTCTCCCAGGCTGGAGTGCAGTGGCCCGATCTCAGCTCACTAAACTGCCACCTCCCGGGTTCAAGCAATTCTCCTGCCTCAGTCTCCTGAGTAGCTGGGACTACAGGCGTCCACCACCACACCCAGCTAATTTTTGTGTTTTTAGTAGAGACAGGGTTTCACCATATTGGCCAGGCTGGTCTCGAACTCTTGACCAGAATCTGCATTTTTAACAAGACCTCCAGAGGATTCAACCCCAGGAGATACATATGCGTGTTGAAGACTGAGTTTTATCCCTGGTATTTGATGCTGTCACGGGTAATTTTATCTTAAGCCACAAGCGTATATCCACATGACGTTAGGGAATTGGTCTTTCATTTACCCTGGGAAGGAATATTCCTGATCTCCACAGCATGACTATCTGTTGATTTGTTCTTTGTTTGTAACTAAGTCATTTTTATCAGAATAGTACAAAATATAGTTTTGGTTTTGTTTTTTTAGAGACACTGTCCTGCTCTGTTGCCTATGTTGGGGAAAACAGCCCCATAACGCCTAGCGGTTACCCCGAGTCCGGCGGAGACAAAGGAGTTAGAAAGAGACAGAATAAGCGTTTAAAAGGCGGGTCCAGGGGACCGGAGCGTCGGAGGCTTGCTCACGGCCCAGAGTTCTCAGGCTCCGCCCAATTTATTGGTTTACAAGCTCTTTGTTCTTAGGGCAGATGGGAGGAGGAGGAAGGGATGAGGGAAAGGATTAATCAGTGAAGGAGAACTGGAGAGTCATTCTGTAAGATGTATAGCAGTGGCGGTTTCTGTGAATTTCCTTGAGCAAAGAGGAGTGTCAAACTACTTAAGATCTTTAACTGGCCGGGCGCGGTGGCTCACGCCTGTAATCCCAGCACTTTGGGAGGCTGAGGTGGGTGGATCGCTTGAGGTCAGGAGTTCGAGACCACTCTGGCCAACGTGGTGAAACCCCGTCTCTACTAAAAATACAAAAAATTAGCCGGGCGTGGTGGCGGGCGCCTGTCGTCCCAGCTACTCGGGAGGCTGAGGCGGGAGAATGGCGTGAACCCGGGAGGCGGAGCTTGCAGTGAGCCGAGATCGAGCCACCGCACTCCAGCCTGGGCGACAGAGCGAGACTCCGTCTCAAACAAAAACAAAACAAAACAAATCTTTAACTTATCGGGACTGAAACGGGTGGGAGTGGGTTTCAGGAGGAGCCAAGATGTTTGATTATACTCCACTGCTTCAAGGGAGTGTTATATGCCTGAGCAACCTGTGGAATGCCGCTGAGGGGTTCTGCTCTCGGGCGTAAAGACATGAAGGCAATAAGGAGACTTTTCTCCTCAGAGGCCGCGCATGGCTTCCCATGGGTGTCTCACACAGGGAAGACTAACTCAGCTGGCACCCCAGAAACTCTCTTTCCCACAGCCTAGGCTGGAGTGCAATAGTGTAATCACAGCTCACTGCAGTCTGGAACTCCTGGGTTCAAGCGATCCTCCCACCTCAGCCTCCCAAGTATCTGGGACGTGTCACCACGCTCAGCTAATTTCTACCTTTTTTTTTTTTTTTTTTTTTTTTTTTTTGAGACTAAATCTCACTCTGTCACCAGGCTGGAGTGCTGTGGTGCGATCTCGGCTCACTGCAACCTCCGCCTCTGGGTTCAAGCGATTCTCCTGCCTCAGCCTCCCAAGTAGCTGGGATTACAGGCGTGTGCCACCACACCCGGCTAATTTTTTGTATTTTTAGTAGAGATGGAGTTTCACCTTGTTAGCCAGGACGGTCTCAATCTCCTGACCTTGTGATCTGCCCGCCTTGGGCCTCCCAAAGTGCTGGGATTACAGGTGTGAGCCACTGCACCCGGCCACATTTTTTTTTTTTTAAGAGACAAGTTTTCGCTATGTCATCCAGGCTACAACATAGTTTCTATTTTTATTTCAATTGCTTTAGGGGTACCAGCGGTTTTTGGTTACAGGGGAGAACTGTATAGTGGTGAAGTTTGAAATCTTAGAGCGCCCATCACCCGAGTAGTGTACATTGTATGCAACATGCAGTTTTTTTTATCTGTCACCCCCCGCTTACCCTCCTCCTTCTGAGTCTCCAATGTCCATTATACCATTCTGTATGCCTTTGCATACCCACAGCTTAGTTTCCATTTATTTATTTTTATTTAATTTATTTTTTTTGAGACAGAGTCTCGCTCTGTTGCCCAGGCTGGAATGCAGTGGCGTGAACTCGGCTCACTGCAAGCTCCGACTCCTGGGTTCATGCCATTCTCCTGCCTCAGCCTCCCGAGTAGCTGGGACTACAGGTGCCGCCACCACGCCCAGCTAATTTTTTGTGTTTTTAGTAGAGACGGGTTTCACCGTGTTAGTCAGGATGGTCTCGATCTCCTGACCTCGTGATCCACCCGCCTCAGCCTCCCAAAGTGTTGGGATTACAGGAGTGAGCCACCGTGTCCCGCCAGCTTCCATTTATAAGTGAGAACATATGGTATTTGGCTTTCCATTCCTTAGTTACTTCACTTAGAATAATGACCTCCAGTTCCATCCAAAAGACATTATTTCACTCTTTTTTATGGCTGAGTAGTATTCCATGGTGTGTGTGTGTGTGTGTGTGTGTGTGTGTGTGTGTGTGTGCATGCACACACATAGCACATTCCCTCTATTCACTCATCAGTTGATGGGCACTTAGATTGGTTCCATATCTTTGCAATTGTGAACTGTGCTGCAATAAACTATGTATGCAGGTGTCTTTTTGATATAATAACTTATTTTCCTTTGGGTAGATATCCAGTAGTGAGGTTGCTGAATTGAATGTAGATCTCTGTTTAGTTATCTGATAAATCTTCATACAGTTTTCCATAGAGGTCCAGTCTACAATATAGTTTTAAAGGTAAATCACATTTAGGCTTGTAATGGAAGAGTCGGCTCTATGCCTTTCCCAAGCCAAGCACTTTTAGTTCTTTTTGTTATTTCTCCTGTCTTTATCTCTATGCTTAGATTTCTTGCTATTTCCTTTTTTTTCTTTTTTCTTTTCTTTTCTCCTTCTTCTTCTTTTTTTTAAAAGACAATTTCTTGCTCTGCTGTCCAGGCTGGAGTGCAGTGAGCTGAGGCTCACTGCAACCTCTGCCTCCCAGGCTCAAGTGATCCTCGTGCCTCAGCCACTCAAGTAGCTGGGATTACAGGTGCCTGCCACCATGCTCAGTTAATTTTTGTATTTTTAGTAGAGATGGGGTTTTACCATGTTGGCCAGGCTGGTCTTGAACTCCTGGCCTCAAGTGATCTGCCCACCTCAGCCTCCCAAAGTTCTGGGATTACAGGTGTGAGTCACTGTGCATTTCTTGATTTTTCTTTATGTAGTTGTTATCTGTGGATTTCTGCTATGAAATTAAGGCGTTAGTTTTTCTACCACCCTCCCCTCAATACACACATCCAGATACACAAACATACACTCCCTCCTTCCATTTTCAGTAAAGCTCAATTGCTATTTGGAATCAATATTCAGTGCTTTTGTTATGACTATGTAAATATTATGTTTAAATTTGTGCTACCTGGAGTTAGTAATTACTTTGTTTTTATCATTTGCTTAGTTTTCTAGGCATCACTCATTAATTCAATCGCAAAGCTTCCAGTGTAACTGAACATTTACTCAATATAGCCAAACATAGCTAATAATCAGTTGATTTCATTTTCCTCTGGAGACATCGCTCCTAGAGCACATCTTCTGATTTCAGGCTGGGTTGGTTACTTTCTTTACCCGGGGGTATAGTTGACATCCCAGGCCTTTCTCATCGTCCCTTTTCTGTGCTTAATCTCATTTATTGAATGCCATATTGCTCTCTTTCTTAGTTTAATTCTTTGTTTTGCTGAAGCACATCCTCCAGTAGCTTTCTAAGAAAGGGTATATGCAAGGTCAAATTTCTGAGACCTTGTATGATTGAAATGTCATTATTCTACCCTCCCAATTAATAATCATTCAGACCTATACATTTCTATATTAGACATCATTTTGAGGGCATTTATTGTCTTCTAGCTACCAGTATTGGTGTTTAGAAGTGTGATACCATTCTTGCTTCAGATCCGATGTATGTGATGTTTTTATTTGGTGGAAGCTCTTAGGATTGTCTTTTTATCCCTGCTAATGTGAATTTCATTATATGCCTTGATGTTAGCTGCCCTGTTTCATGTATTGGGCTGTGAATTGGTGGAAAGTTATGGTCTAGAGAATCATGTCCTTCAATTCTGAAGAGTCTCTTGATTTTTAAAAATCTTTCCCTTCTGGTCGGGCAGGGTGGCTCACACCTGTAATCCCAGCACTTTGGGAGGCTGAGGCGGTCACATCACCTGAGGTCAGGAGTTTGAGACCAGCCTGGCCGACATGGTGAAACCCTGTCTCTACTAAAAATACAAAAATTAGCTGGGTGTGGTGGTGGGTGCCTGTAATCTCAGTTACTTGGGAGGCTGAAGCAGGAGAATCACTTAAACCCGGGAGGCGGAGGTTGCAGTGAGCCAAGATGGCGCCATTGCACTCCAGCCTGGGCAACAAGAGCGAAACTCTGTCTCAAAAAAAAAAAAAAAAAAAAATAGAAAGAAAGGTTTTCCTCCTCAGAGCACTCCCTCAATAAACCATGTGTACAAGTATCCCCATCTCAGGCTCTACTTTTAGAAATTATGACCCATTGATATAGTCTGAATATTTGTCCAAATCTCAAGTTGAAATCTCAAATCCCAATGTTGGAGGTAGGGCCTGATGGGAGGTGTTTGGGTCATGGGGGTGGATATTTCATGGCTTGGTGCTGTCCTTGAAATAGTGAGTGAGTTCTCTCAAGATCTGGTTGTTTAAGTGTGTGGCAACTCCCCTAACCACCACTCTCTCCCTTGCTCTTCACCCTTTGCCTTCTGCCATGATTGGAAGTTTCCTGAGGTCTCCCCAAAAGCAGATGCTGGTACCCTACTTCCTGTACAGCCTGCAAAACTGCAAGCCAATTAAGCCTCTTTTCTTATAAATTACCCAGTCTCAGGTATTTCTTCATAGCAACGCAAGAATGGCCTAATACACCCACCATCTGGTGCAGTGCCTGGCACATAGGAAGCACTTAAATAAATGATTGTTGAATACAAAATAAACTCTGAGAAAATCACAGACAGAACTCTCCTATACATGCATACAGAGCACCTGGTGCATAGTAAATCTTTAAGGAGCTTTAGACTCTCCGATCCCCCCATGCCCTGCAATATGGAGTAGCCTCATCTTGGTGGACTCATCAGGACATGCTCCCCAGGTCTGTATGTCCAGGAATGCAATTGTGTGGATGCATCCAGGATTGATCAGGCTCAGGGAATTGCCAATCTTAAACCTTAATGTTCCTTTACAAGCACAATTGGAACTTAATGCCAAAAAAAAAAAAATTCTGGGATCTTCTGTTATACCCTATCCCATTACGGACAAATCTACTCGTAAAACCCAGCTGCTGGATAAGCAAGAACAGCCAGACCAAGGGCGATCAGTGCATGGTCATTAGGGCTGGTGACCCTCGTCTCTGGGCAAGGCCTGCTGGAGGTGGATATGCAGCCTGATTCTTGTTCTGTCTCCTCCTCTCCTAGGGGCTGTATGGCCACTGTCTCCCATTTTGCCACCCCTACCAGTTTTCCTTCAAAGTATGATATGTGGGCAAAGATTAAGTTCTCTTAATTATGACACATTTCCGCTCTTGCCTCTCAAGTCACTAAACTGAGATGTGCTGGACCCCTATGGCCACCACCCATTTACAGATGATCAGTGTAATCTGATATACTGATAATCCAAGTGACTAAGCCCTTCATTATATGTTCATTTTCCTTAACTCCATTCTCAGACTGTAACCTTAACCTCTAATAAGGGGGTTACTAGGTCATAGTCCTCTTAAGTTCATGTCCTCTACCTCATTACTGGAACCCCAGTATGCATAACACCCCCTATAAACTGTAGTGCTTAGAATACCTGAACAGCCCCCTCCTCTCTCACCCCCATTTAGCAGGTTATGCGGAAGCCCAGCCCCAGAAGCCTCAGGCAGTCCCCTGGCAGAGCCCATCTCTGCAATCTGGAACTTCAGGCCTGAAAAATCCCCTAGAAGGACCCACAGGGAAGACAGCTGGGGACAGAGATATTGAATGACTTCGCCCTGGACCTGCAGCTCTGCAAACTCACAGGAAGAAGAAAGCAGACCTCGCTCCCTTGGACAGATGCCCAAGTAGTAATGGGGTTAGAATGCCTTCCTGACAACTCAGATCCCCAAGGGAGGGCCCTAGGGCAGAGAATCAGCAAAGGCAAGAGGATGAGTCTTAGTTCTCAGAAATCCCTGACTTCCCAGCTAAGCCCCACCTAGGCCACCAGCTGCTTATGAGGTCAGAGCAGCAGCAGCAGCAGCCCCCTCCCTACCCCACGGCCCCACGTGGTAACAGGTCACAATGCCCCGGGTGCCCACTCCCAGAATGCTGACCAAAGTGGGAGGAGGTGAGGAGGGTTTGCTGGGTGGGTATGGGGGAGGGGGAGACTCTGCAGGAGCCTAATTCCCCACTCTGAGCTCACCCTTCTGTCTGCCCGGGCCCTACCCCTTCCCCTACTCTCACCCTTATAATCCTTTTCAGCACTAGGTCTTCCCGTCACCTCCACCTCTCTCCATGACCCGGCTCTGCTTACCCAGACCCGAAGCACGTGAGGATCCGATCCCAGTTCCTCCAAGGGGCCTGGGTGCTGGGGAGGGGTCAGGTAGTCCAGTGCGTCCACCTGTATCCACCTGGGGCCCTAGCTGGGCCCAGCTCCTGGACAGTGTCCTATGGCTGGGGGCACTAGGACTGACAATCCAGGCAGTCTTTTCCACCACTGGCCCAGCCCTGCTGCTGCTTCTGGTCAGCTTCCTCACCTTTGACCTGCTCCATAGGTAAGTGGGCAGCAGCCTGGCAGGTGGGCATTGTAGGCGGGCGGGCCAGTGGACAACTTCCCTAAGCCCAGTCACCACCCTCTCTCTCCACAGGCCCGCAGGTCACACTCTGCCACAGCGCAAACTTCTCACCAGGGGCCAGAGTCAGGGGGCCGGTGAAGGTCCTGGACAGCAGGAGGCTCTACTCCTGCAAATGGGTACAGTCTCAGGACAACTTAGCCTCCAGGACGCACTGCTGCTGCTGCTCATGGGGCTGGGCCCGCTCCTGAGAGCCTGTGGCATGCCCTTGACCCTGCTTGGCCTGGCTTTCTGCCTCCATCCTTGGGCCTGAGAGCCCCTCCCCACAACTCAGTGTCCTTCAAATATACAATGACCACCCTTCTTCATCAGGCCCCCTTTTCTCCTTCCTGGCTGGGCAGGTGGGATGATACCCCTTTCTTCCCAGCCTGAACCTCACAGTCCTATAATATAGGTATCAGATACCTGGATCTGAGTCTTTGGGCAGCAAGAGAAGGTAGGATACTAGCCAGGGAGCCCAAGGAAGAATGTGGCAGCCACCTCAGAGCCTGTGGATTGGGGGCAGCCACTCTGGCCTCCTCTGTGGCTCTAGAGAATGAAGGTCCAGACAGAAAGACTTGCGAGAGAGCAGTTTGGAAAGGGGTGGATATCAGCCAGCAGGGAAAGCAGGAAAGGGACAGGGATCCAGGGAGGGCTTCCCATGAGAAAGCATGAGAAACTACATCTGCGGGGCTCCGAGGCTCCCCTGCCAGCCTGGAGGGTCCGTGCAGAGGGACTTGGGTGGGCCTCACACCCTACAGTGACTCCTCTCTTGGCTGGACCCCACCCCAGCCCGGGTCACAAAGGGGCTCCTCTGGGGAGGGTGGGGGTAGATGAGAGTGGGGACTTGGATCTGCCTGCCAGGCCGTCCTGGGCGCTGCAGGAAGCAACATGACTTAGGTAACTGCCCAGAGGTAAGTCCCAGTCCCTAATTCTGTAGCCCCACCCCACGCACACTGGTGCCCTCCTGACCCCTGCACCCCCTCTCTGCCCCCCCCCCCCAAGGTCCCAGGCATCTTCAAGACCCTGGCCCTCTCCCCAGGTGCACCAGACATGATGCAGCAGCCGCGAGTGGAGACAGATACCATCGGGGCTGGCGAGGGGCCACAGCAGGCAGTGCCCTGGTCAGCCTGGGTCACGAGGCATGGCTGGGTGCGCTGGTGGGTGAGCCACATGCCCCCGAGCTGGATCCAGTGGTGGAGCACCTCGAACTGGCGGCAACCGCTGCAGCGCCTGCTGTGGGGTCTGGAGGGGATACTCTACCTGCTGCTGGCACTGATGTTGTGCCATGCACTCTTCACCACTGGCTCCCACCTGCTGAGCTCCTTGTGGCCTGTCGTGGCCGCGGTGTGGCGCCACCTGCTACCGGCTCTCCTGCTGCTGGTGCTCAGTGCTCTGCCTGCCCTCCTCTTCACGGCCTCCTTCCTGCTGCTCTTCTCCACACTGCTGAGCCTTGTGGGCCTCCTCACCTCCATGACTCACCCAGGCGACACTCAGGATTTGGATCAATAGAAGGGCAACCCCATCCCACTGCCTGTGTCTGTTGAGCCCTGGCCTAGGGCCTGAGACCCCACGGGGAGAGGGAGGGCAATGGGATCAGGGCTCCCTGCCTTGGCAGGGCCCAGACCCCTAGTCCCTAACAGGTAGACTGGCCTGACCCCGGACTCCTTCCTCAAGTCAATGCTGCAGGTTCCTGGTGTGAGGGGCTGGGGGCTTTGAGAAGAGGGGGCAAGACAGATGGCTTAGCCATTGGTGAAAATTGCTTAGCCAGGGGCAGAGCTTGACCAAGCCACTGATAGCGCCCATATGGATGTGATGATACCCGTGGGGCCCCCTTGGCAACTGACAGCATCTTTTTCTCATAGCCACTCAGCTGTCTCAGCTTCAGACTCACTGAGAACTTCTACCTGGGTACCACTGGCCTTGCCATTCCTCCCACCAATCCCCTCTTTCCACTTCCAGGAGAACCACAGACTCTAGAGAGGGTCCCAGTGACAAAAATCTATCAGGGAGAAGGCTGGCCAGAAGCCCCAGGAGACCTCAACTCACTCGCTCTCCAAACCTTGCAGCCCACGCATCCTCCTCCCTAGACTTCCTACTTCCTGCCTCAGTCTGCATCCCCAAGTCTGAGAAATGGGCCAACTGGGGTCAGACAGCACCTACTCACTCTCTAAGAATCCCAAGGTCTGTTATGGAAAAATGATCAAGAAATCCCATTTCACCCACTTACACAATGTGTGGCCTTGGCCAATTAATTCATTTGAGCCTCAATGTTACGTGGGCCACTTCTGTCATGGGGTTGTTGTGAGTCAAAGACAATATCTATTTGTGAAGCATTTTGTAGAAGCCAAAAACCTGTAAGATGTTGTTTTGAGCTCTAAGAACTTTCTGTAGGCGCATAAGATCTTTTGACCCCAAAGACTGTTGAAGGAACAGGAAGCTTCTCTGGGCTTTCAGATCAACTCTCTGTCCTGGATAGAATTTTGGCCCTAAAATGGTAAACAAGAGGTCGGTTAAGTGTGTACAAGATGTAAAAGGTCATGTGCCATGAAATCTCAAAATGTGCAGATGTTGAACTATTTTGATTATGAAATGCTTGGGCCTGGGGCTGGGTGCCAGATGCTTGCACAGCTGTGTGAGTGGGGACAGCACAGCCCCAGGGTTTCCAAAACTGACCCAGCAAGCCGCTCAGGCACCAGAAGGGCTTTGGAAAGGGCAATCCTTTGATGCCCTGAATGCTGGCCGTTCGTTCACTTGCTGGCCCCTCCAACAAAACATTGAGTGATCGGTAATTACCAAGTAAGGTACATGATAGACAACTTTATCCACACCTGACCCCCACCCAAGCCCTGGCCATCCCCAACTCCTGCCCAGTTCTGATCCCTGCTTTATGTATAACCCTAAAATCCTTGCTCTTGAAGCCCCAGACCCAAGGTCCCCCTCTTTTGTCCCATAAATACTCAGGGCCTTGGGGCTAGCCCCTAGAACCCTGGTTCATTTTTGCCTTAGACTTTTGCAACCCTCCATGCCACGGATTAGATGCCTTCAGCATCAGTGCCAAAACCCAAGGTCCAGTCCTTCCTTTCTGTTTCTTTGTATTTCTCCCGCATTATGGCATGGTAGTGAGAGCGAGGTAGGACATGGGGCTGATGTGGTCTCATGGTTGGATGGGTTTTGGTGCATGAGCTGAGGCTGGGCGTGAGTCCCAGCACTCTCACTTACTAACTCCATGCCCTTAGTGGAAATCGCTAAACCTTCCTCAACTTCACTTTCCTCATGGGTAAAACTAAGGCAAGAACCCCTGTCTTAGGGCTCTGGCATGTGAGTGAAGGACCTGGGACCACTCCTAGCACCACAAATTATAGCTATGCTGTGACCATCCCATTTTAGAGATGAGAAGTCAGGCCCAGGATAGCCAGTTGCCAGTGGCAAGGCCAGGCCATCTGAGTCCTACCAGGCTACTCAAGGGAAGGTGAAGGGGGCAAAGGAAACACAAACAACCTAACTAACTGAAGACCCCAAGGCTTCTCAAGAGCTCCTATCAGAGCTAAAGCCCAGGCCTAGGGAAGTCATGAGTCAAGCCAATCTAGATGGCAAGCTGAGGATTCAGGATCCCATGTGGTGAGGGCAGAGACCAGGCTGCCTGGCCTAGATCCATCATTGACTTGGCCATGCATTGCTAGCCAGGGACGTTGCTCTGGAGCCTTGGGTCCATTCCAATGAAGGGAGAGAGGAGTTTGGGGCCCTGACCAGATGCTCTAGTGGATGGGATGTGGGCAGCAGCAAGGAGAAGACCTTCTTCCTTTCCCCACAGACTATATACCTTTTACCCTCCTGCCCAGCTGGTATGGGGTAAGGAGGTGCACCCAGACTAGAGAGCTGATGGGCAATACTCATCAAATTAGATCCACATATACCCTAGGACCCAGAACCCCAGAATGAATTTTCACAGAGGTCCATAAGGGCCTTGCCCCTCAAAATGTAGTCCCAGAATCAGCAACACAGGCATCACCTGGAAGCTGGTTGGAAATACAGTCTCAGGCCCTGCTCCAGACAGGCCGAATCAGAGTCTGCATTTTTTTTTTTTTTTTTTTGAGACAGAGTCTTGCTCTGTTGTCCAGGCTGGAGTGCAGTGGTGCAATCTCGGCTCACTGCGCTCCACCTCCCAGGTCCAAGCAATTCTCCTGCCTCAGCCTCCTGAGTAGCTGGGATTACAGGCGCCTGCCACCGAGTCCGACAAACTTTTGTATTTTTAGTAGAGACAGGGTTTCACCATGTTGGCCAGGCTGGTCTTGAATCCCTGACCTCAGGTGATCTGCCCACCATAGCCTCCCAAAGTGCTGGGATTACAGGCGTGAGCCACCGTGCCTGGCCAAGAGCCTGCATTTTAACAAGATTCCCAGGTGATACATTGTACCCTGTTTGAGAAGTGAAGCATAAGGGGGTATTATGAGAATGCCTATTGCACTGTTACTAGTGGGAGCAGGATAGGTAAAGGGAAGGGTAAAACAAGGCAGATGGGCCCAAGGGGCAGTAATTAGAAGGGGCAGAAGGTACATGAACCAATCTTAAAATCTTAGCATTGAAAAAGAAATGGAATGAGAATACAATTCCTCTTACACAAATTTAAAAGCATGTCAGCAAAACAAGACAATTTTTGGCAAGAACACATAAAAACGAAAGATAAACAGAATGGAATGGACAACTCTAGGGGCAGGCAAGTGGGAGTAGGGTATAGAGATAACAGGCAATAAAGCTAGAGAGCTTGCAGAGGCGAAACGTGATACCATCAACGTAATTCCTGAAATTCCTTTAAAAGTAGAAAAAGAAGTCCATTTAGAGTTAAAAGGCTTAAAAATGCAAGTCTGGGGAGAATGGGCATGGTGGAAGCCCTTCGGTTTGGGCCAAGAAGGGCGAGCCTTCCTATCGGCCTGTGTGTGACCTGGGCTGCTGGGTGGATGTGTTTGCCGGCCCTCCCCCACCGCACCCCGCAGGCTGCTCTCATGGGATTGGACTGTGGGCCGGGGATCCAGCAACAACTTCGGCCTGGCCGGAAAAATAAAGTCAAGGAGAGCATAAGGAACCGGAGCGGAGGCGGTGTCAGCGAGAGGGGCCTTGCGTCTCAGGAGAGGGGGGATCTACAGCGGTGCACACATGTGCTGGGGGATACCTGGGGTAGGGCTTCCCTCCGCCCCTAGGAACAGGGAAGGCGGCGTCAGGGGGCGCAAGCTGCTGAGGGGTACCCCTTCAAGAGATGGAGCGCCAGTGGCCACTCAGGAAAGGAGAGGGGTCCCCGAAAGGAAGAAGCCGTGCGACACCCAGGAACCTCCAAGGGCCAGCTGCGGGACATCGCGAGGGGGGCGCTGTCCTTTAGACTCGTGGGTGCAGAGAAAGGGGGAGGCTAGGAGAGGCCGAGTGGGGCTGGGGGTGGGGGAGGGACAGCCGGCCACAAGGCATGAGGGAGGAGACAGGGTCGTCAGGGAGGGGAAGGACGCCTGTGCGGCGCGCGCTAGACCAAGGCCCGGGGGCAGGGACAAGGCCATCGAAGCCGTGGTCACAGACGCGCCGGGAGGGAGGGGGCCACGTCGGGCGGCATGCGTTGAGGCGACAGGAGCGCCTGGTCAGACAGCAGCTGCTCTGAGGCGGGGGAAGGCGTGGTGGGGGGTCCCCTGCGGTGGGAACCCTGCGAGGACACCCGGGCCCAGGCGCGCGGAGCGGGGCGAGGGCGGCAGCTGGAGGGCGTCGAGGCCGGAGCGATGACCCTCGGGCAGAGGGGGACAGGCCAGGGTCTGAGGCTGGGAGAGAAATCCCAAGCCCGGCCCGGTTGGGAGGCCGTGGGCATCCACACGGGGCATGTGCTGGCGGCCCTGAAGCGCCGATGTCCCCGGACTCGCCGCACGCGGACTGGGGACCGACAGCGCGCAAGGAGAGCCCTCTGGCTCTGGCAACGAAGGGGCGGGCTTGGCGGGGGTGGGAGGAGAGAGCGCGGGGAGGGGTGTCCCACAGGCTAAGACTCCAGCACTCGGGGAGGGGCGGGAGGGTAAGAAGAGGGATCTTAGGGCCACTGTCATCACAGTGGCAGCTTCGTTGACTCTCACCCCTTGCCCCAAATCGCCGGCCTGCCGCCACTTCCCCTCACTAGAGACCCCTAGGCGTCGACGGCAGAGTTCCTGAGAACCCTGGAGAAGGAACGGCCTGATACTGAGCTGGGACTCCGACTCCTGGAACAGCCTGAGCCTGATATTATCCGATGCCCCTGAGGTAAAGAGCTGTCATTTGTGAGGATCTGACAGGGTCTGGATGCAGCCACCTTTGGACAAGTTTTTTGGTTTGTTTGTTTTTGTTTTTTTTCTGCTGAGCATTTTCATCTATATTCTGGAGCTCATACTTGCATCCTTTGTACTGATTCTGTTACCGACCCTCAAGGGGGTATTTGATCCCAGTGGGGTTTTTTCCCTGCTTGGTGCCGTTCATGCCAATAGACTGAGACCAGGTTCGGTTAAGCAGAGCAGAAACTTTATCATTGATCAAGGAATGGAGAAGGGGAGCCTGTGCTCAAAGCACCTTCTTGGGGCGGGGGGGTGGGGGGGTGGGAGTAGGGCGAAGAGGGATTTGTAAGATGTCTTAGGGCAGTAGGCAGAGCCTGGGGGCGGGGATTCCTGGAAAGATAGGGCTTTCCAGGGAGAACTGGAGTGTGTGCAGTCTCTCCTTCACTCCAGCACTGCATGTGCCCCGGCAAAGTGCACCTCCACCCCCAATCCCCCAACCCCCCAGGGCGGAGATTTCAATGTGGTAATGAGGTGAAGATTCAGGTCAGGGTAGCACTGCTGAGCTCCCTTCTCATCTTGTGGCTTGTTTGTGGTTACTGGCTTCCAGCCTCCATTTTTTAAAGCAAGCACAGCTGTGAACACTGGTTAATTTCACAGGTTTTGGGGCTTGCTGAAAGACTTGGGGTTACTCTGCAGTGACAATTCCCTACCTTGAAAATATTTTCCATCTTAAAAGAACTTGATTTGCTCTCCCTCTCCCGTCTCCCTCTCCCTCTCCCGTCTCCCTCTCCCTCTCCCTCTCCCGTCTCCCTCTCCCGTCTCCCTCTCCCGTCTCCCTCTCCCTCTCCCGTCTCCCTCTCCCTCTCCCGTCTCCCTCTCCCTCTCCCGTCTCCCTCTCCCTCTCCCGTCTCCCTCTCCCTCTCCCGTCTCCCTCTCCCTCTCCCGTCTCCCTCTCCCTCTCCCGTCTCCCTCTCCCTCTCCCGTCTCCCTCTCCCTCTCCCGTCTCCCTCTCCCTCTCCCGTCTCCCTCTCCCTCTCCCGTCTCCCTCTCCCTCTCCCGTCTCCCTCTCCCTCTCCCGTCTCCCTCTCCCTCTCCCGTCTCCCTCTCCCTCTCCCGTCTCCCTCTCCCTCTCCCGTCTCCCTCTCCCTCTCCCGTCTCCCTCTCCCTCTCCCGTCTCCCTCTCCCTCTCCCGTCTCCCTCTCCCTCTCCCGTCTCCCTCTCCCTCTCCCGTCTCCCTCTCCCTCTCCCTCTCCCTCTCCCTCTCCCTCTCCCTCTCCCTCTCCCTCTCCCTCTCCCTCTCCCTCTCCCTCTCCCGTCTCCCTCCACGGTCTCCCTCTGATGCCGAGCCAAAGCTGGACGGTACTGCTGCCATCTCGGCTCACTGCAACCTCCCTGCCTGATTCTCCTGCCTCAGCCTGCCGAGTGCCTGCGATTGCAGGCGCGCGCCGCCACACCTGACTGGTTTTCGGTTTTTTTTTGGTGGAGACGGGGTTTCGCTGTGTTGGCCGGGCTGCTCTCCAGCTCCTAACCGCGAGTGATCTGCCAGCCTCGGCATCCTGAGGTGCCGGGATTGCAGACGGAGTCTCGTTCACTCAGTGCTCAGTGGTGTCCAGGCTGGAGTGCAGTGGCGTGATCTCCGCTCGCTACAACCTCCACCTCCCAGCCGCCTGCCTTGGCCTCCCAAAGAGCCGAGATTGCAGCCTCTGCCCGGCCGCCACCCCGTCTGGGAAGTGAGGAGCGTCTCTGCTTGGCCACCCATCGTCTGGGATATGAGGAGCCCCTCTGCCTGGCTGCCCAGTCTGGAAAGTGAGGAGCGTCTCTGCCCGGCCGCCATCCCATCTAGGAAGCGAGGAGCGCCTCTTCCCGGCTGCCATCCCATCTAGGAAGTGAGGAGCGTCTCTGCCCGGCCGCCCATCGTCTGAGATGTGGGGAGCACCTCTGCCCCACCGCCCTGTCTGGGATGTGAGGAGCGCCTCTGCTGGGCCGCAACCCTGTCTGGGAGGTGAGGAGCGTCTCTGCCCCGCCGCTCCGTCTGAGAAGTGAGGAAACCCTCTGCCTGGCAACCGCCCCGTCTGAGAAGTGAGGAGCCCCTCCGTCCGGCAACCACCCCGTCTGGGAAGTGAGGAGCGTCTCCGCCCGGCAGCCACCCCGTCCGGGAGGGAGGTGGGGGGGGTCAGCCCCCCGCCCGGCCAGCCGCCCCGTCCGGGAGGTGAGGGGCTCCTCTGCCCGGCCGCCCCTACTGGGAAGTGAGGAGCCCCTCTGCCCGGCCAGCCGCCCCGTCCGGGAGGGAGGTGGGGGGGTCAGCCCCCCGCCCGGCCGGCCGCCCCGTCCGGGAGGTGAGGGGCGCCTCTGCCCGGCCGCCCCTACTGGGAAGTGAGGACCCCTCTGCCCGGCCAGTCGCCCCGTCCAGGAGGGAGGTGGGGGGGTCAACCCCCCGCCCGGCCAGCCGCCCAGTCCGGGAGGGAGGTGGGGGGTCAGCCCCCCGCCTGGCCAGCCGCCCCGTCCGGGAGGTGAGGGGCGCCTCTGCCCGGCCGCCCCTACTGGGAAGTGAGGAGCCCCTCTGCCCGGCCAGCCGCCCCGCCCAGGAGGGAGGTGGGGGGGTCAGCCCCCCGCCTGGCCAGCCGCCCCATCCGGGAGGGAGGTGGGGGGGTCAGCCCCCCGCCCGGCCAGCCGCCTCGTCCGGGAGGGGGGAGGGGGGGTCAGCCCCCTGCCCGGCCAGCCGCCCCGTCCGGGAGGGAGGTGGGGGGGGTCAGCCCCCTGCCTGGCCAGCCGCCCCGTCCGGGAGGTGAGGGGCGCCTCTGCCCGGCCGCCCCTACTGGGAAGTGAGGACCCCTCTGCCCGGCCAGCCGCCCCGTCCGGGAGGGAGGTGGGGGGGGTCAGCACCCCGCCCGGCCAGCCGCCCCGTCCGGGAGGGAGGTGGGGGGATCAGCCCCCTGCCTGGCCAGCCGCCCCGTCCGGGAGGTGAGGGGCGCCTCTGCCCGGCCGCCCCTACTGGGAAGTGAGGAAACCTCTGCCCGGCCAGCCGCCCCGTCCGGGAGGGAGGTGGGGGGGGTCAGCACCCCGCCCGGCCAGCCGCCCCGTCCGGGAGGGAGGTGGGGGGATCAGCCCCCTGCCTGGCCAGCCGCCCCGTCCGGGAGGTGAGGGGCGCCTCTGCCCGGCCGCCCCTACTGGGAAGTGAGGACCCCTCTGCCCGGCCAGCCGCCCTGTCCGGGAGGGAGGTGGGGGGAACAGCCCCCCGCCCGGCCAGCCGCCCTATCCAGGAGGTGAGGGGCGCCTCTGCCCGGCCGCCCCTACTGGGAAGTGAGGAGCCCCTCTGCCTGGCCAGCCGCCCCGTCCGGGAGGGCGGTGGGGGGGTCAGCCCCCCGCCCGGCCAGCCGCCCCATCTGGGAGGTGAGGGGCACTTCTGCCGGGCCGCCCCTACTGGGAAGTGAGGAGCCCCTCTGCCCGGCCACGACCCCGTCTGGGAGGTGTGCCCAGCGGCTCATTGGGGATGGGCCATGATGACAATGGCGGTTTTGTGGAATAGAAAGGCGGGAAGGGTGGGGAAAAAATTGAGAAATCGGATGGTTGCTGGGTCTGTGTGGATAGAAGTAGACATGGGAGACTTTTCATTTTGTTCTGTACTAAGAAAAATTCTTCTGCCTTGGGATCCTGTTGATCTGTGACCTTATCCCCAACCCTGTGCTCTCTGAGACATGTGCTGTGTCCACTCAGGGTTAGATGGATTAAGGGCGGTGCAAGATGTGCTTTGTTGAACAGATGCTTGAGGGCAGCATGCTCGTTGAGAGTCATCACCACTCCCTAATCTTAAGTACCCAGGGACACAAACGCTGCGGAAGGCCGCAGGGTCCTCTGCCTAGGAAAACCAGAGACCTTTGTTCACTTGTTTATCTGCTGACCTTCCCTCCACTATTGTCCTATGACCCTGCCAAATCCCCCTCTGCGAGAAACACCCAAGAATGATCAATAAAAATAAAAAAAAAAAAAAAAAAAAAAAGAACTTGATTTAACATCTGTTGGTTCTGTCATATTTTCCAGGTTGCGTCTTCAAATGTCTTGCCCCCAAAATACCAGTTTTTAAAATTAATACGTGATATTGTATCCTTGCAAAATATTTGTAACATGTATGAAAGTTATGAACCTCTCTAAACCAAGAGACCACATCAATCTAAAAGACAGATGTTATCAGGTTAGGGCCTCTTCCTGTGTGCTCCTCATCTTACTGTGCAAGCTGGGATTCCTGGACAATGGCAAATTGAACTGCTCTTCACAGATATCTTTGACTTGATATTGATTTAAAATGAACTGCTTGCTTCTAAGTTTCCACCATTAAGAATTATGTACATTGTTGTAGATTTCTGGTAGTTAACTTTTATTCAGTTAAAGAAATTCCTTTCAAGACCTAGTTTACTAACAATTTTGGTCAAGAATGGATGTTGAATTATAAAATTGCTTTTTCTATGTCTATTATGAGAACTATTCTACTGTATTCTGTTTATTCAGTGAATTACATTCTTGTTTCTTTTATTAAACTGGTTTTATGGTTGTTTTGTTTTGTTTGAGATGGAGTCTCTCTCTGTCGCCCAGGCTGGAGTGCAGTGGCATGATCTCAGGTCACTGCAACCTCTGCCTCCTGAATTCAAGCGATTCTCCAGCCTCAGTCTCCCAAGTAGCTGGGACTACAGGCACCCATCACCATGCCCAGCTAACTTTTTGTATTTTTTTCTTGTTGTTATTGTAGAAACAGAGTTTTGCCATGTTGCCCAGGCTGGTCTCAAACCCCTGGACTCAAGCAATCCACCTGCCTTGGCTTCCCAAAGTGCTTGGGTTACAAGTGTGAGCCATGGTGGCTGGCCAGTTTGTTCTTTTTCTTTTTTTATTAGTGTGTACAATTCCATCGTACGAAAATACAATAATTTATCCGTTCTCTTGTTGATGAACATTTGGATTGTTTCCAGGTTTTGGCTATCAATAAAACATCTACGAATATTTTTAAGTCTTTCAGTGGACAGAGTCACTCATTTCTTTTGCACCAGAATTGTTGGGTCATAAAGTATGCAAATGTTCAACTTTAGTAAATGTTGCCCAATCATCTCCAAAGTTGTTATATCAATTTATATCAATTTCCACTGCTTTTTTGCAACCTGTCCACCTAATTTGTTTGGAGTTTCTGCTCTCCAAGGTCTCATCAGACATGATATTTGCATTTCTATTTCTCATTTTCACTTGCTTGGGTGATTTCTTACAGGAAGAGGAAATACTATATCATCTTCAAACTGCACAACCTCTTTCCTTTTAAAAACCAGGAATGCAAGTTTGGTTTAACATCCAAAAAACAACTAATGTAATCCACCAAATTATAAAAAAAAAAAACCCAAATGATCATTTCAATAAATGCAGAAAAGGCATTTGACAAAATACAACATCTATTCCCAATAAAAGCTCTCAGCAAACTAGGAATAAAAGGAAATATTCTCAACTTGACAGAAGGCATCCATGAAAAATCTGCAGCTAGTATCATGGTAGTAGTATCAGCTACTTCACTGTGGAAAAACTGAATACTTTCCACCTAAGATCAGAAACAAGAATGTCCACTCTCACTACTTCTATTCAATGTTGTACTAAATGTCCTAGCCACTGCAATAGCACAAGAAATATAAATAAAAGGCATACAGATTGGAAAGCAGTAAGTAAAACTGTCTTTATTGGTAGACAAAAGAATCATATATGTAGAACATTCAAAGAAACCTATAAAAAAGTTATCAAAACGAAGTGAATTTAACAAGGTAGTTAACATGTGTACACAGTCATGATTGTGATATAAGGTCAATATACAAAAATCAATTGTATTTCTCTGTACTTGCAATGAACAATCAGAATAGAAAAAATTTTAAAATGACTACTTCCAAGAATAGAAAAATATGAAGCACTTAGGGGTAAATCTGACAAAATATGTGAAAGACCTGTACACTGAAAACTACAAAGTACTGCTGAGAAAAATTAAAGACCTAAATAAGTCGAGAGATATACTTTGTGCATGGGGTCAGATATAGGTCAGACATATTGTTAAGATGTCAATTTCCCCCAATTTATCTATATATTCAATACAATCGCAATCAAAATCCCAGCAGCATTTTTATAGGAATAACAAGCTGATTTTAAAACTCATATGGAAATGTAAAGGACCTAGAATAGCCAAAATAACTTTGATAAAGAACAAAGTTGAGGCCGGGCACGGTGGCTCACGCCTATAATCCTAGCACTTTAGGAGGCTGAGGCGGGCACATCACCTTGGAGGAGGTCAGGAGTCCAAGATCAGCCTGGCCAACATGGTGAAACCCTGTCTCTACTAAAAATACAAAAATTAGCCAGGTGTAGTGGCGTGTGCCTGTAATTCCAACTACTCAGGAGGCTGAGGCAGGAGAATCGCTTGAGCCCAGGAGGCGGAGGTTGCAGTGAGCCGAGATCGCACCATTGCACTCTAGCCTGGGAGACAAGAGCGAAACTCTGTCTCAAAAAAAAAAAAAGAACCAAGTTGAAGGACTAACACTTCCCAATGTCAAGATTTCATCAAGGTACAATCAAAAGAGTGTGGTATTGGTATAAGGACAGACAAATAGACCAGTGGAACACAGTAGAGTCCAGAATTAGATCCACACATATATGAACAAGTGAGTCTCAATGCAAGTGCAAATGTAATTTAGCGGAGAAAGAATAGTCTTCAACCAATGGTGCTGAACCATTGTATATTCACATAAAAATGAATTTCAATTTATACTTCACACCATAAACAAAAAATTAACTCAAATTTGATCATAGACCTAAATGTAAAACCAAAAACTATAACCCTTCTAAGAGAAAACATAGAAAACAAATAGTTGTAACCTTGCATTAGGAAAATATTTCTTAGATATGACACCAAAAGCACAATCCATAAAAGAAAAACTTGATTAACTGTACTTTATCAAAATTAAAAACTTCTGTTCTTGAAAAGACACTGTTAAGAAAAAAAGAAGACAAGCCACAGATTGGAAGAAAGTATTTTCAGATCATATCTGATAAAATACTTGTATCCAGAATAAAGAACTCTCAAAGTCCAATATGTAAAAAGGGGGATAGAGGGAAAGAGAGAGAAAAATGTGAAAACCTACTTAACAGAAGAAGATATATAGGTGAAAAATAAGCATATGAAAAGGTGTTCAACATAATTGGTTATTAGAAAAATGTGAACTAAAACCATAATGGAGATACCACTACCCATCTATTGGAATGGCTAATATTAAAAAGACTGATCATACCAAGTACTGGCAAGGATGTGGAGGAATTGCAACTCTCATTGTTGGTGGGAATGTAAAATTGTACAACTACTTTTGAAAAATTGTTTGGCAGTTTCTTAAAATGTTAAACATACACCTACCATATAATCTAGCCATTTCATTCTTAGGTAAAAATGAAAACATATATCCATACAAAGACTTGTATATAAATGTTCATAGCAGCTTTACTTATAATAGTCAGAAGCTGAAGATAACTCAAATGTCCATCAATAGGTGAATGGAGAAATGTTGATATATCATTACAACTGAATACTAGTCAGCTATAAAAAGGAATAAATTGTTGATACAACATGGATGAATTTCCAGTTGTTCCATTAATCCCATTCATTAGGATGAGTGAAAGACGCCAGATGAAAAAAAGAGTATCCATAAGCAGGAGTTGAACAATGAGAACACATGGACACCAGGAGGCAAACAACACACACCAGGGCCAGTCAGGAGGTGGGTGGCGAGGGGAAGGAGAGCATTAGGACAAATAGCTAATGCGTGCGGGGCTCAACACCTAGATGACCAGTTGATAGGTATAGCAAACCACCGTGGTGCACGTATACCTAGGTAACAAGCCTGTATGTTCTGCACTTGTATCCTGGAACTTAAAGTAAAATAATAATAATAATAATAATAAAGAAAGAAAAAAGTATCTATTGAAAGATTCCATCCATATAAAATTCTAGAAAATACAAACTGATCTATAGTAACAGAAAGCAGTAAGTACCCATGATTGCTTGGGGACAGGAGCAGGGGGATATGAGGAAGCTATGGGGAGGAATGAGAGGGAGGAATTATAAAGAGGTAGAAGAATAAATTTCATTATCTTAATTGTGATGATTTCATAGATGTATATATATATCTACTTGTATGTGAAGTCTATTACATGTCAATCCCACTTCAGTAAAAAAGGTTTTTGTTTTGTTTTTTAGAGACAGGGTCTCATTTTGTCACCCAGGCTGGAGTGCAGTGGTGGAATCATGGGTCACCACAGCCTCAAACTTCTGGGCTCAAGTGGTCCTCCTAAGTGATCCTCCTGTTTCAGCCTCCCATGTAGCTGGGACTATAGGCATCCACCACTACATCTAGAGAATTTTTTATTTTTTGTAGAGTCGAAGGTGGGGAGAGGTGTCACTTTGTTGCCCAGACTGGTCTCAAACTTCTGCCTTCAAGTGATCCGCCCACTTCAGCCTTCCAAAGCGCTGAGTTTACAGGTGTCAGCCACCACATCTGGCTGAGCAGGTTTTGCTTTGTTTTGTTTTGTTTTGTTTTTTGAGAGGAGTCTCGCTCTGTCACCCAGGCTGGAGTGCAGTGGTGCAATCTTGGTTCACTGCAAGCTCCGCCTCCTGGGTTCACCCCATTCTCCTGCCTCAGCCTCCCGAGTAGCTGGGACTATTACAGGTGCCCACCACCACGCCTGGCTAATTTTTTGTATTTTTTACTAGAGACAGGGTTTCACTGCGTTAGCCAGGATGGTCTCAATCTCCTGACCCCATGATCCGCCTGCCTCAGCCTCCCAAAGTGCTGGGATTACAGGTGTGAGCCACCATGCCTGGCCCAAGCAGGTTTTTTTTTTTTTTAAAGAATAGGCTCATTTCCTTGCAATCAGAGTTTATCTTTCACTGATGTACCTGTTTAGATATACTTCAATACTGTACTGAACACAGAACCTAGGCAGGGAACTGGGTAATGCAACAGAAGGCAAGTTATCTACTTTTGCTGGGAAACTTCCGATATTATTATTATTAATATTATTATTATTATTATTTTGAGATGGAGTTTCACTCTTGTCGTCCAGACTGGAGTGCAGGGGCGTGATCTTGGCTCACTGCAGCCTCCATCATCCGGGCTCAAGTGATTCTCCTGCCTCAGCCTCCCAAGTAGCTGGGATTACAGGTGTGTGCCACCACACCCGGATAATTTTTGTATTTTTAGTAGAGACAGGGTTTCATCATGTTGGCCAGGATGGTCTCAAACTCCTGACCTCAAGTGATCCACCTGCCTCAGGCTCCCAAAGTGCTGGGATTACAGGTGTGAGCCACTGCGCCTGGCCAAGTTTTACTTTTTTTTTTTTTTGAGATGGAATCTTGCTCTGTTGCCCAGGCTGGGGTGCAGTGGCACGATCTTGGCTCACTGCAACCTCTGTCTCCCAGATTCAAGCAGTTCTCCTGCCTCAGCCTCCTGAGTAGCTAGGATTACAGACATGCGCCACCACGCCTGGCTAATTTTTTTTGTTGTTCTTGGGGTTTTTTTTTTTCTTTTGAGACGGAGTTTTGCTCTTGTTGTCCAGGCTGGAGTGCAGTGCAGTGGCGTGGTCTCAGCTCACTGCAACCTCTGCCTCCCTGGCTCATGTGATTTTCCTACCTCAGCCTTCCAAGTAGCTGGGATTACAGGCATGAACCACCATGCCTGGCTTTTTTTTTTTTTTTTTTTTTTTTCTGAGACAGAGTTTCGCTCTTGTTGCCCAGACTGGAGTGTAGCGCCATGATATTGGCTCACTGCAACCTCTGCCTCCCGGCTCAAGCGATTCTTCTACCTCAGCCTCCCGAGTAGCTTGGCATTACAGGTATGCGCCATCACATCTGGCTAATTTTTGTATCTTTAGTAGAGACGGGGTTTCACCATGTTGGTTGGGCTGGTCGCAAACTCCTGACCTCAAGTGATCTGCCCGCCTTGGCCTACAGGGGTGAGCCACTGCGCCTGGCTGAAGTTTTACTTTTCTTAAAGAGAATTTTTTTTTTCCTGGAAAATAAGTGCTGACATCACAACTGAAGTGCTCATGCATCTTTTACTCCTTTCAGGAATACCTTGGTATGGCAAATGAATGGACACAGAGTCCATTCTTTAAAACCAATTCCATGAATGAGAGGAAGTCAATGTAAGATTGTCTTCTTAAATGATCTGTCAATGGTCAAATGTGAATGGTTTTTGAGACAATGAAGTTTGAGTTCTCTCTTGCTTAACTAGCAAATAGTGGGCCTACATACCAGGGCAACTTAAGATTTCCATTATTTTCACATCTCAAAAAAAAAAAAAGGAAAAAAAAGGGAAACGATTTAAATGTAAGTGATGACTCATATAAGTGATGACTCATATAAGGCTATTTGTAAGTTTCTTGCTTCCCAGTCGGGACTGAATAAAATCTACAACAGATGAGTCAAATTTTTAAGCTTTTTGTACCATATGCTTATATGACAACAAACTGAGAAACATTTACCTCCTTTATTCTATTCTTTTTTTTTTTTGAGACGGAGTCTCACTTCTGTTGCCCAGGCTGGAGTGCAGCAGTGCGATCTTGGCTCACTGCAAGCTCCGCCTCCCGGGTTCACGCCATTCTCCTGCCTTAGCCTCCTGAATAGCTGGGACTACAGGCGCCCGCCACCACACCTGGCTAATTTTTTGTATTTTTAGTAGAGACGGGGTTTCACGTGTTAGCCAGGATGGTCTCGAACTCCTGACCTCATGATCTGCCTGCCTCGGCCTCCCAAAGTGCTGGGATTACAGGCATGAGCCACCACGCCCGGCCCCTTTATTCTATTCTTATGATAAATTTCAAGTTTAAAGAGATTAAGCTATTTCCATAAATTTTAAAGGAATGTAAGAAAGTTTTAAGGACAAAGGTGTTGGGACATTGCAGTAAAGGTTATGAAACCTCACCGTGGGCCATGCCAGCCACATAGAAAAATGGGTTGGAAATTAAAAATATGGAGGTAGGGCCAAGCATGGTGGCTCACACCTATAATCCTAGCACTTTGGGAGGCTGAGGCAGGCAGATCACTTAAGCCCAGGAGTTCGTGACAAGCCTGGGCAACATTGTGACACCCCATCTCTACCAATCAATCATTCAATCAATAAGCTAGGCATGGTGGTGTGTGCCTGTAGTCCCAACTATTTGGGAAGCTGAGGTTGGGAGGATCACTTAATCCTGGGAGGCGGAAGTTGCAGTGAGCTGTGATGGCACCACTGCATTCCAGCCTGGACAACAGATACCTTGTCTCTCTATGCGTATGTGTGTGTATATATATGTATTTTTATACATTATATTTATATAAACATAATGTATTTCTATAATAAATATATATATTTATAAATTATATTCATATGTATATATTTTTATATATACATATAGTATACATAATATATATATGTATATATATAAATACATATGTATGGCAGTAGAATGAAGGGGATATTGAGCACATTTGAGGAGTCTCCAGGTTTCTTAGTGTGAAAGCTCCAGAACTGGGATGGGATTTGAAGCAAGTGAAAAAGGCTTGGCTTGGCTCAGTAGGGAAGGTGACAGGATTCCTGGAGAACAGGATGGAAAACAACAGAGATCTCACTGAGGCTGCGTCACTCAAATTACTTTTTCCTGCAAATCAATCCAGGTGTACAGTTTTCTCCAGCAATATCAGGAAGCCCCAGAATCAGAGGCACAAAGGTGTCTGAAGAGAGAAAAGTGTTTTGAGAAGGAAAGGCAGAGTGACAAGGGGTTGGGCAAACTGGATACAGCTGAAGACGGCTGCCCCAAGGATGGGTTTTTGTTAAAGAAAAGAAAAAAATCAATTTGGGGGCTGAGCACAGTGGCTCACATGTGTTGTCCCAGCACTTTGGGAAGTCAAGGTGGGAGGATTGCTTGAGGTTAGGAGTTCAAGGCCAGTCTGGGCAACATATAAAGACCTTGTTTTTATATTTTAAAAAAAAGTGAAAAAATAAATTTAAAAAATCAAATGTTGCAAATAATGATTAAAAATCTTATCTCACAAGAAGCTTTCCTTCATTTTTGTATGTCCCTTCTCCTTTTTGTTTATACCAGAGAAAGCTGAACTTAAAAGTTTCAGAACTGTGCTGACGCTTTTGTACACTGTCTCATTTGGTTCCTCTAAAGGGTTTTATTAAGTCACATTGTCTGTGTCAGTTTCCAGCACCAGTGTATTGATTCATTAGCTTCCCTTCATTTGCATTTAGTCTAGTAGATGGCTAGCAAGGATCAACACTTTTCTGGTCTGCTATTTCCATCTCCTTTTGTGTGAGATGTTATGTCCTTCAACAAGGTAAAATTTCATTAATAAGTATGGAAAGTTAATACAAGAATTCTGCATCCTTCTCTTCTATCCATTCTAATTCAAAATTATTTACGGGGTCTTCATGTTACCTTATATTTCTGCCCTCACATCACTTATCAGTCCACTGCCATGCTCCATCCCTCACACCACCCCACATTTTAGTTCACACTCCACTACTGACGTTCTTTGTACAGTCATGAACCTAGGATCAAGACTACCTGTTAAAGCTGAAATCCTATACCTCCCTGCTTTCAACTTCTGCATGGAGCTTAAAACAGTGTCTCTACCACCACCCCTATCCTGGCACCCACCTTGGATTTTGTCTCCCTCAGCTCCTTTTTTGTCTCACCACCAGCACCAAAGCGGTTGGTCTGTGTTCTCTTTCCTTCCACTGCACATCTCATCAATCAAGTTAGAAGTTTCGAATAGAGGCCGGGCGCAGTGGCTCACCCCTGTAATCCCAGCGCTTTGGGAGGCTGAGGTGGGCGCATCACGAGGTCAAGAGATCTACCTCATCCTGGCCAACATGGTGAAATCTCTTCTCTACTAAAAATACAAAAACTAGCTAGGTGTGGTGGTGTGCGCCTGTAGTCACAGCTACTTGGGAGGCTGAGGCAGGAGAATTGCTTGAACCCGGGAGACAGAGGTTGCAGTGAGTGAACTCCAGCCTGAGTGAGACTCCATCTCAAAAATAAAAAAAAGAAGAAGTTTCGAATACGTCTCCCACTTGGGTTTGGGAGCTTCTAGTTTCATTCCAACCACTTACTGTGTGTCCACTATGTGCCAAGAATTATGCAAGATAAGTTTATGCATCTTCGTATCTTTGGAGGTAGATGAATAACGAATATACACATGAATGCATGAGACCGGGAGGTATAGGTAAGAACTAGCCAGACCCAAAATTCCAGACAAAATATTAACAATTTCCACTTAGCCCTTGATTTTTCCCCAAGGTGCTGACAATAGGGGACCCCTCCAGGATCTCTGTTAAATACACATGTTCTGGTGAGGGTAGAATTAAGTATGAGACAGGAGGGCACATTCAATGATTTCTAAATAGTGTGGGGTCAAAGGCCCCACGTTGGACAAAGCCCAGAGGCAACCTCCCCCAATCTTAAGATCATGGTTTGGGATACCCACTGCACACAGGAATTTGTCACTCTGTTCTTCCATGCCTTTATTGGTGACAGCAATGGACAAGAACAATACCAGGCATAGCAGACACCCTAGCCCAGTACCTGAGGTGCCAGGCAGGCCCTGAAGGGCCATTGGCACATCCAGTCCCAGCCCAAGATCCAGTCTACCCAGGCCATGTCCCCGAATGGGCAGGAGGCCGTCTGTCCAGTTTGTATGTGTGGATCAGTCTCTCTGAGTGTCTGAGCCGCTGCCTGCAGGGCCCCCCCATTCTCCGCACATGGTAGGGGCTGTTAGGAACATAGCGTGGCATCCCCCGGTGGACCACTGGGCCCCAGTGCTGACCATGGGGATTAGGGCCAGGGATTGGAGGTGGCAGAGGGCCAGGCACAAAGTTCACTCCAGGGCCACATCCTACAAAAGAACCAGTCATTATAAGAGCAGGCTTCTGGCCAGAGTGAGTGCAGCTCTGCCTTGAAGCAACTCTTGTCCTCCAGGTGAGCTTCTCTGTTTCCCTATCTACAAAAAAGGGATAGTCCTTCCCCTACCTTCAGACGGTGAAACAGTGACAACCAGTGAGCTGATTAATGAACCTACAGATGATGTTTCAGACTCAGGGACTGCTGTGACCAAACCCAGTGCTAGGGGCACAAGGAGCTACCCAACTCCTCTCAGCTCACCTAGGCATAGGAGGCTGGGTAAGGGGAGGTACAAGAGGGTGGGGGAGCTGCAGAAGCACCTACCTAAGTGGGGTGGCATCGAGAAGTCCTCCACTGGATTATAGTTGAAGAATTCATGGGGTGGGAAGGGCTGGCCTGGGAAAAAAGGGGTATCCTGGGGCAGGGGTGGGAAGAGGGGAGGTGGCGAGGGCTGAGGAAGCGGGTAGGGAAAAGGCATGGGAGGAGGCAAAGAAGAAGGTGGGGGTGGGAGCAAGGCCAGGTGCTCCCCGAAGTCTGGGGTCTGCCTATGGCTTCCCTGGAATGGATGATTCATCTCTGCCCAGTCCTCAATCCACGGGTCTAGGAATGGGATGGTTGTTTTAGGTAGGCTTGGGAGCCAGGCTGCCCTGAACTCTGGCCATCCACACTTCTAAAGCTCTATTCCTTCCTCTTGGAGAGCAGAGCCACCAGGCTGGAGCATCCTTGCCCTCTACCCAGTTTTCCTCATTCCCTCTCATTTCAGGCCAAGCCCAAAGTGTGTTCCTTCTCTCTTACCTCTCAGACTTACCTTTGTTCTAACCTACACTTCCCTCCAGAGCCTTCTTTGTTTGCCCAGGTCTTGTATCTAGCTTTTTCCTCGCCCACCTCCTCCCCATAGACCAGTAAATAAGCCAAACATAAAGATCCTGTTATTCCCTTCCCCAACAACTTCCTTTTACCATCCAAACTTCCAAAAGGAATGTTTTGCCCAATTTCCACTTCCTCCTCAATTGCTCACTCCCTCCTTTAATCCAAACCCATGCCCTCAACACTTTTCCTACTAAATGTAACCACTTGCTAACAAATTCCCTTCTTCTCAACAGTCATGTGACACTGCCAGCAGCCTCAGTCCTTCCTAAAAGTGCCCCTGCCCTCATCTCCTTTTGTTTCCGCCATAGCCCCTCTTTCCTGCCAATCCAAAGCATGAGCATCGTTCTGTCTCCCTCACAGCTGCCACTGTGCCCTCAGTTTTAATCTCTCTGCTGGGTACCAATGACTGCAAATCTACTCTGTATTTCCAAAGAACCTCAAATCAATCTGCTGTGACCAAACTCACCAACTCATCCTTCCACCCCAAATCAACTCTCCCTTTTCATGGCCCTAACTTCTGTAGCTCCAAATTGGATTTCAAAGGCCTAAGCCATCAAAACTAGCCTTACAACCTTCAGGGCATCCCATCATTTGCTGGGGATCAATTATTACATCTAAACAAGAAAATGGGGATGTTTAACCAAAATCTGTATTCACCTCCCTGATGCTCCAACTCCTGGCTACCAAGTGTTACAGGTCTGTCTCTATGATATTCCTGGACTCTCTGTGCCCCCACATCCTCTTGTGCTGCCATAATCGGCCTTCTAACATGACTCGTGCCTCCCATTCAACAAATACAATTCTGTTGATACTGTGTACAGGGAAATTGTGCTAGACACTGGGGCTGAAAGGGGTGAGTCGTCAACAAGTGCAGCAGGAAACTTGCCCTTTAAGGACACGATGCAGGGGAGAAGCAGCCATGGAGACAATCAGCCATGGTGCCCTCTTTGTGTGCATGCAGGGACTAGGGTGTTGACATGGAAACAGAGGTTCTGCAGCAGAGTGTTACAGTTGAGATGTGATGGGGAGCAGTGCCTCAAAACAAGGGGGAGTGGGGCCCTCAGAAGCCTCCACCAAAGGCCCAGAGATGGGGCCCGAGGAGAGCTACACCAAGCTGCACCAGTCACAGTGGGACTCTGAGGCTGAACTAAGAAGCCTATGGAACACTGTCCATTGAGCCCAAGTCCATAAGGCTGGCCTTCCCGATGCAACATCCCTGTTCCACACCCTGCCAGTTGACTGTACCCCCACCCCCCAGCTGTGGGCTTCTTTGCTTCTGCCACACTGCCTGGATGGCCCTTCCTCCCTGTCTTTCCACTCCTCACACCCATGCCCCATTTCTTTCCTGTTAATCTGTTGGGTAGGACCCTTGCAACATGCTGCCTTATGTGGTCAATACTTGTACAAGCTCCTTCAAGCACACAGAAATGACTACACAGCCAGACTGTAGAAAACTGGAACTTGGACAAGAATATTGCTCCGATGATCTAACCCTCCTCAGGGGTTGAGGAAGGTGCATGCAGAAGCCACAGGAGTCCTTCAAGGGACCTCTACTTCCCTTGAGTGGCTGTGTCCCATTCTGTTTCTGAGCCCTGTCCTCTGAGGGCCCCAGTGCATCACTACCCCCCCACTTATGGTAGGGCTCACCAGGGGGATAGCCACGCTTGGGCAGCTCCACGCCCCAGGCGTCAGCCACATGGGTCAGAAGCAGGTGTGAGAGGTGGCGGTGTGCATGCTGGTCCCAGTGGACACCATCCCGATGACGGTGCTGTACTGCATGCCGGAAGTGAAAGTGGAGGTCTAGGACATCAAAGCAGTGGTCCCCGGCCAGCGTAGCACTGTAGAAGTTCCCTTCAACCACATCCCGCCGCAGGGAGCCTGCCAGGGGCTGGAGCTAAGTGAGAAAGTGCAGCCTCTAAGAGCCACAGAACGCAGCAGGGTCTGAAAGCAGGGTGTCCTATCTACCAGTCTGCTATCCCATCTCTTGTCCTGATGGGCCTCAGTCACTTGCCTCTGGCAGGAGGAAACCCCCAGTGATACGTTCCCCGAGGGGCATCGCCATGTTCCACACCAGCAGGCAGGAGTCTGGCAATACTTGGTCCATGCGCACAAACACCCGCTCCAGGTTCTCCCGGTAGCTCTCCATTGAGCAGCGACCATATCTGTTGGATAACACACAGGGTGGGCAAGAGCACAAGGGTGGACTGCCTCAGCCGTACTTCCAGCCCCAACCAGTATTCCCCTTTCCCTCGCCCCAACCTGGAGAGATCCCAGAGGCAGGAGTTGATGATCACCAGGTCCGGGGCAGGTCCATATGTCAGCTCTTCCAGAACATCCTCAAGGTACTCGGAGTAAACACGAGTGAGGAAGTAGAAGCGCACAAGGTGGTGGCCAGAGCCCGAGCAGAACTGGCGGACCTCACGATACTGTGTCCCGTTGTGCAGCTCGCCCAGCTGGCCCCCAGCCACCAGCTGGTCCTGTTCAAAGCTCAGCTCCCCCTACCCACCCCCCCCACCCTACTGGTCAGACCCATGCCAGGGAGGAGAACCCTGCCAGGCCAGGGTCTGTGCCCACCCACCACTGACATGGCCACCAAGCTTCCCTCACCTTGGCTTTCAGCTGGGCAGCTGTGAGCAGTGAGTCTTTCTGGAGCAAGAGCACCAGGTCCTTGTACACAGCCCTCTGAACTGGGAGGAGACAGAGATCCCAAGGCTGAGGCAGACCTCAGCCTGCCCCAGCTCCTTCCAAGTCCAGGACCCCATTTTCCCAGGGCTGAGGTGCCCGACACCAGCTCTGTGGTTGACTTAGACGCAGGAGAAAAGATGAGGTTAAAAAGTCCTGGCATTGCCTCTGTTCTGTGTGCCTCCTGGCCAGCAGTATACAGTGACCCAAGATCACCTGGCAGAAATTAAGTCGGCCAAGTCACCCAGGAGACACACTACACAATGCAACGCTTTCGTGATGGAAATTATGGGGAGCTGTCAGGGCGAGAAATGCTGAGCAAGGATGGGCTAAAAAGTGCACAGGTTATTACACCTGTCAGGACTCCTGTGGAAGATGTGTGGGACATAAAAAGAGAAAACCTACTGGACGGAACAGACCAGAAGACAGACAAGAGATGTGAGATGGAAACAAATGGTCCAGACACACTGAACGGGCTGCAAGGTGTGGGACTGGAAGCGTCACCCTAGAAGAGGCACTCACTGGAGTCCCCCAAGATGACCACGAACTTGTTGTGTAGCAGCTGCTGGACTTCCGAGGCCTGGAAGTGGACCATGTCGCTTCGCAGCGGGCGGCGCGGCTCCTCGCTCGACAGACAGAAGACCATGCCGCCACCAGCAACGACAGGCTGCAGGGAGAGGCCACTAAGCAGCGCGATGGTGGGGACTCTGGGCAGGTCAGCCTCAGGGCTAGCCCCTCCGGGGCTGCTCAATGCTAAAGGGAGGAGGTGACGGCAGCAGAGCCATGGTGGCGCCAGCCTTGGTCACACTTGGTACCAGAGGCAGGGGGTCGTCCAGCCAGCAGGCCTCCAGGGCACTGGGGAGCTTCCCGCGCGGCGCCGCCCTGCGCCTCGCCACGTGCCCGCCGCCGTCCCGCGCATGCGCGCACCCGCTCGCGCCAATTACCAAGTCCCGGGGCTCCGCGGTGTTCACCCGCGACCCGGGTATGCCTGCGCACCGCGCGCCTGGCCCGCAGCGGGCTCCTAGCCAAGCCTCATGTTCCCGCGCCCCAGTCGGCCAGTCGGTTCTGCAAAGCTCCCGCCCCGCAGAGACCGTGGGTCCAGGTTAGCCGTCGGTGCACAGCCCAGCGCCCAGCGCTCTCCATGCGAGCGTCGCTGTGGCCCCGACGGCGCCTCAGGCCTCGGCGCCTCGGGCTGCGACGCTCACAGCTTCCACTTCCGTTCACCCATGTCCCGCCCTGAGCGACCCCCAGTGCCCGAAGGGAAAGCAAGGCGATGGAGGTGGCCGCCACAGGGCGCAGGAGCCAGGGCTGGGCCCACTTGGCGGGCGCGAAGCCCAGGTACGGGCTGGGGTCTCGGGGCGGCAGCCAAGTGAGGCTGCCCACAGTGGTGATGGCCGCGGCGGCGGCCTCGCCACGTGACCCGGACGGGCGGAAGCGGAAGTGCCGGCCTGGAGCCCGCTCTAGGTGGGTGTCCCCTCGGTGCTTCCCAGCTGCCGTCTGCACCAGCCATGGACTGCTACACGGCGAACTGGAACCCACTCGGGGACTCTGCCTTTTACCGGTGAGCTGCCCCGCCCTCCCGCCCACGGCCTGGCTTACCCTGCTCGCCCGCCGGCTGGAGTCTCCCGGCGGCGTTCGCCCCTGTCACTACTGGCGCTGGGGTCCGCCCCGCGCCGGCTCTCCCCGAGCGTCTGCCACTTAGCGCACAGCCGCCTTTGGGCAGGGAGCCGGGCCTTCCCCTGCTCCAGAAAAGGAAACTGAGGCAAGCACAGTGGTCACCCCGAAGCCCAGGTCTGTTAGCCTCCGGAAAGATGCTCAGATCTCGCTGAGGGAGGCAGCTCGCGGGTGACAGCGAGTGCCCAGTCTCCTGCCGGAAAGTGCTGCTGAAGTCAGACCACAGGGGCGCTCCGAGGGGGGCGGGATCGCACGGCGGGCGGGGTAACAGTGCTGACCAAGGCTGGGAAAAGGGGGCGAGTCGTCCGTGAATCCCGGAACAGCGGAAGTGGGAACCCCTGGGTTAGGGCAGCCCGCCCATGGGAGTTGTAGAGTCCTAAACCACGGATTTTTCTAAAGTGTAAACCCGTTACATCGTTACCCAGATTAGGATTTTCCCATAGCTTCCCTAATAGGAAAAACTACGAACTTCTCGTGGAACGTCTATCTGTAAGGCAGCCCGTTTGTCTCTCCAACCTCATCTACCGCTCTCCTACCCAAATCTTGCGTTCCAGCTGCGCAGAATTACAAGGCCCTAACCAGTCTGCAGTTTCTGTGGATACTGCCATTTCTCTCTTTATCTCACTGAAGAATTTTGCGCATCCTTCAGGACTTAGTAGTTCAAGGGTTCTTTCTGGAACTGTGCCTGATTCTCCCCCAATAGAATCCTGTGGGCCTCACTGGGCCCAGTGCTAGGGTCTTTTAGGTATGGTCTATTTGTATATTTAGGCGACATTTGTATAGGTTTCTTCTGCTAAACCAGGCTCCTTCAGGGCTGAAAGCATTTTTTTTTTTTTTGACAGAGTCTTCCTCTGTTGCCCAGGCTGGAGTGCAGGGGCACTCGGCTCACTGCAACCTCCGCCTCCCGGGTTCAAGGGATTCTCCTGCCTCAGCCTCCCGAGTGGCTGAGACTGCAGGCCCCTGTCACCACGCCCGGCTAATTTTTGTATTTTTTGCTAGAGGTGAGGTTTCACCATGGTGGCCAGGCTGGTCTTGAACTTCTGACCTTAAGCAATCTATCCACCTTGGCCTCCCAAAGTACTGGGATTACAGGCGTGAACCACTGAGCCCGGCCAAAAGCATGTTTCTTGCTTCTCTTTATCACCAGTGCATATTTAGAACAGTGCTTGCTATGTAATAATTGCCCATTAAAGTTTTTTAAAAATATTTTACTGGGCCGAGCTTTGTGGCATGTTCCTATAGTCCCAGGTACTGGAGAGGCTGAGTTAGGAGGATCACTGGAGCCCAGAAGTTTGAGGGTGTAGGGACCGATGTTAGAACCTGTGAATAACCACTGCACTCCAGCCTGGGCAACATAGCATACTCCCTCTGAAAAATTAAAAATATTATTTTAGGCCAGGCGCAGTGGCTCATGCCTGTAATCCCAGCACTTTGGGAGGCCAAGGTGGGTGAATCACCTGAGGCCAGGAGTTTGAGACCAGCCTAACCAACATGGTCAAACCCTGTCTCTACAAAAATTAGCCAGGCATAATGGCAGGTGCTTGTAATCCCAGCTACTTGGGAGGCTGAGGCAGGAGAATCGCTTGAACCTGGGAGGCGGAGGTTGCAGTGAGCCAAGATAGCGTCATTGCATTCTAGTCCAGGCAACAGAGTGAGACTCCGTCTATATATAGATATATCTATCTATATCTATCTATAGATAGATAGATATAGATAGATATATAGATGTATCTATATATATATAGATACATCTAGATGTATCTATATATAGATAGACATATGGATGTATCTATCTATAGATACATATAGATGTATCTATCTATAGATAGACATATAGATGTATCTATCTATAGATAGACATATAGATGTATCTATCTATAGATAGACATATAGATGTATCTATCGATAGATAGATGTATCTATCGATAGATAGATAGATGTATCTATCGATAGATAGATAGATATATGTTATGGATTGCAAGTAAAGATCACAAAGACATTGCATGGGGGTCTTACTTAAATAGAAGACATTTGTTTGTGCTAATGAAACTGTATACCATTCTCACTGACATATTAAAACTTTTAAATGTAATTTTTGGTACCTAATGTGATATACTTCCTAGATGGACAAGTGCCCTGTGGCAGTTTTTAGAGACCTGTTGCATTTGTTGTTTATTTATAATTCTCTCTTAGAAATATGCCTGTGCAATTGGCCGAGCGTGGTGGCTCACGCCTGTAATCCCAGCACTTTGGGAGGCTGAGGCAGGCAGATCACGAGGTCAAGAGTTCGAGATCAGCCTGGCCAACATGATGAAACCCCGTCTCTACTAGAAATACAAAAATTTGCCGGGCGTGGTGGCACACACCTATAATCCCAGCTACTCGGGAAGCTGAGGCAGGAGAATTGCTTGAACCTGGGAGGCGGAGGTTGCGGTGAGCCAAGATCGCACCACTGTACTCCAGCCTGGGCAACAGAGCAAGACTCCATCTTGGGGAAAAAAAAAAAAGAAAAGAAATATGCCTGTGCAGTATGAAAAAATTGCAAAAACTTCATTAAAAATCCATAAATGCAGTAGGAAATGATTTCAACTTGTTTCTGTGGAGAAGGAATTTCAGCTGACCAAGGTAGCCATGTCATTTAGTATTTACACACCAGCTAGTTGATACAACATTCACTTTTAAAATATCAACTTTACTTGTATTATTTTGAAGATACCTGTTGCCTACCCAGGCTTATTAAATCAAAGAGTACTGCAGACATTGACCTCATTACCACAGAGCTCTTATTTGTCAGATGTAGTCTTTGCTTTGTTGACATGTTAATAAGGTTTTAAAAGAATGTATGTGTTGGGTGCATGCCACAGACACAATCTGAATGATTAATCTACTCTTACCTGTGCTGTACTGCCAGAAAGGATTAGGGGTCTAAGGCTTGCTGGGGAGGATATTTATGTTTTAAGTTGCTAACAGCTATTGAGCCTTTCTTATGTACTAAACATGCTAAGTACTTTATGTGTTTTAACTTGCTTAAGCCTTACAATCCCATGAGGTAGGTACCATCTTACTGATGAGGAAGCCGAGGCACAGAGAGGCCAGGTTATACAACTAGTGACCAGGTTACACAGCTATTGAGTAGTGGAGTCAGGCTTTGAACCCAAACAGGTTCTAGACCTCTGTTAAAAAATAGGGTTTTGGGGGCGGGCAGGTTAACAGGAAAATATAAGAGCATGTTTCACCTTTTCCACCAGAATGGAAATGCTTTAAGAGCAAGTACTTAGTTTTGTTCATATGTGTGCATAGCTTTATGCATAGGCAGGACTTGATACATGTCTGAGTCAGTGAATGAATGATAAAACAGGTGGCAGACATTACATTTCAAGTCCTATCTGCCTGACAGGATTCTTTTGTATTGGGAGTAGTATTCTGGAGAACCCACTCAATTTGGGAAGGCAAGGAGGAGAAACGGTGACCAGTTCTTATGGGACTCCAGAAGTTAAGCTATTTTTTTAATCCTAAAAATGCAACTTGGGCTAATCTAATTAATTAATTTGTCCCATCCCTTTGGCAGGCTGAGCCAGTATGATAAAACAGATGTGGAAGAGTTCTGCCTGCCATCATAGAGCTTACAGCCAGCAGGCGAGACAGTTGATAATCACTCAGTATTTGTTTGATCATAATCACTATAAAGAGAGGTATAGTAGCAAATAACCTAAGAGAACATGTTACAGACTCCAGGAGTCAAAGGTAGAGAAGACACTCTGAAAGAAGTAATAATACCCTATCCAGGGGATGAGTAGATGTAGGTGCATGAAGTGGGATGGAGGTGGAGAAGAGCATATACACAAAAGTCTTGAGGCAGGAAGGACTGAGGCATGCACAGTGACCTAAAGAGAGCCAGTGTGGCTGGAGTGCTGTAGGCAACAAGAACAGGACATGGATGAAGTTGATGCCCTTCGTGTAGGGGTCACACGCTGCAGGGACGTGTAGATCACCGTTATCTGAAGAACGATGGGAAGCCTCAATTAAAGGATCTTAACAAAAGGTTGATGTAATTGGATTTGCAAGGGGTGTGTGTGTGTGTGTGTGTGTGTGTGTGTGTGTGTTTTAAGTTCCTTTTGTAGGCAATGCTGGGGAAAAGTTGGAAGGAACAAGCAAAATGGAAGCAAGGGAGATGGTTAGGAGCCTGATGGAACAGAACAGGAAAAAGTTGAGGATGGCCAGTACTGGGGTGGTGATGGTGGAGGTGGAGAGAAGGGGCCAGTCTCAGAGATTTAGAAGTAAAGTGGAAGAAATTCGTAATGACTGCACTTGGTGGGGAGGAAGGAGAGCAAGGAATCAAGGATGACTTGGATTTGGGGCTTAAATAAAATCATGAGAAAGGAAGCGTGAGTTTGGCAGGGAAGGAGGTGAGCTTGGTTCTAGATACATTGAGTTTCAGGTACTAAGAAGCATCTTATGGTAAAAGAAAGGAGAGTTAAGATACATTATATACTCCTGAAATTATTTTTAGAAGGGAGGGCAACTATTTAAGTAGTTATATTTTTGTTTCATTTTGTTTTTTTGATACATAAACATGAACTTTTTTTTCAAAAAAGTCAGCTGTGTGTAGTGGCACGCACATGTAATCCCAGCAACTTGGGAGGCTGAAAAAAAAAAAGAACATTTTAAAAAATTGTGGTTAAATATACATGATATAAAATTTACTCTCTTAACCATTTTTGAGTGTACCCTTTAATAGTGTTAAGTATATTCACGTTGTTGTGCAACCAGTCTCCAGGACTTTTTCATCTTGCAAAACTGAAATTCTGTACCCTCAAACAACTCCCCATTTCCTCCTCCCCCCAGCCCATGGCAACCACCATTCTGTTTTCTGTCTCAGAATTTGACTACCCTAGACTCCTTATGTAAGTGGAGTCATATAGCACTTACTTCCTGTGACTGGCTTATTTCACTTAGCATAATATCTTCAAGATTTATCCATGTTATAGCATGTGTCAGAATTTTCTTCCTTTTCGAGGCTGAATAATATGCCATTGTATGCATCTACCACATTTTGCTTATCCATTTCATCTTTCCATGGACACTTGGGTTGCTGGTAGCCCTTGGCTATTGTGAATAATCTGCTGTGAATGTGGGTCTACAAATATCTATTCAATATTTTCTGTACTCCGCTTTTTTTTTTTTTTTTTTTTTTGAGATGGAGTCTCGCTCTGTCGCCCAGGCTGGAGTGCAGTGGCGCGATCTCAGCTCACTGCAACATCTGCCTCCCGGGTTCAAGTGATTCTCCTGCCTCAGCCTCCTAAGTAGCTGGGATTACAGGCACCCACCACTGTGCCTGGCTAATTTTTGTATTTTTAGTAGAAATGGGGTTTCACCATGTTGGCCAGGCTGCTTTCGAACTCCTGACCTCAGGTGATCTGCCTGCCTCGGCCTCCCAAAGTGCTGGGATTACAGGCATAAGCCATTGCACCCGGCCTCTGTACTCCGCTTTTAATTATTTTGGGTATATATCCAGAAGTGGAATTGCTAGATCATATGGTAATTCTATGTTTACTTTTTTCCATAGCAGCTGATGTACCATTTTACATTCCCAGCAACAATGCCCAGGAGTTCTTTAGTAGTATATGTTTTTGAGACAGGCTGGAAACAAGGGATTTCAGGAGTGACAGTGAACTCTCTTTAGGGCCTGGGATTTGGGAATTACTGGATTATACCCCAAGGCAACCAGATTATACCTAACATGCATCTTCCTCCCTAGTGGTCTGATATCTTAGCTTGGACAGGCTGGAGATCATCTATTTTCACTCAAGGGTCTTCTCACACCCCAGTAGACCATGCTTCTCCAGCAGTTCAGCTGCCCTGCCACAGAAATTTCTTCACTGTTTCCAGCAGGGGACTGCAATTGAGGCTACCGGTACCTCACTACATCCTTAGGTTTAACGATTTCCTGGTATTCGATTCGATTCCAAGGTCCATTTACTGCTGCTGAGATTTCCACTTCTGGGACGTAGGAGTGGAGCAGAAAGATGGGGCTGGCCTTCCTCACTAAGTGTGTGGCCTCTCTTCACAGAGTCCTCACCCTTAGGCTTTTCTGAGAAGCTGCTCTTCACTCTGCCCATCCATACCCTGTGCTACCCTCCAGGCACAGTTTGAGTCACCTCACTGTCCTCTAGAAGCCCACTTTACCTCTAAGGCTTCAGGAGGTGGTCCATACGTTATTGCTCTTCACTCCCTGACCTTTACTTTTGTACCCCTTTAGGGGGTCCATTGTGTCTCCTTCCCACCTGGTCTTTGTCGCTGCAGACATCCTTGACCAACTGCACTGCTCCCTGATTGTTGTTTTAGCCCACGGCCTCCTAGGCATCCCAGCTCTTGCCACCTTCTAGGGAGACTTAAGTGGCCACCTGGCTTCATGGTTCTATGACCTCTACTCAAGTGATTTTATCCATCTCACCCACCCCCTCCCTGGATCCCATCCCACCCTTGTGCTCATCCAGAACTGCTCTACCTCTGAAATGCTAAAATCAAACCGCCCCCTCTATTTTTTTTTTTTTTTTAAGACGGACTCTTGCTCTGTCGCCAGGCTGGAGTGCAATGGCATGATCTCGGCTCACTGCAACCTCTGCCTTCCGGGTTCAAGCAAATCTCCTGCCTCAGCCTCCCGAGTAGCTGGGATTACAGGCATGCGCCACCACACCCAGCTAATTTTTGTATTTTTAGTAGAGACGAGGTTTCACCATGTTGGTAAGGATGGTCTTGATCTCCTGACCTCATGATCCGCCTGTCTCGGCCTCCGGAAGTGCTAGGATTACAGGCGTGAGCCACCGCACCCAGCCCCGCCCCCTCTCTTACCATAAGCTCTTGTCTGCACCGATACTCTAATACCTCCCCATGTTATACCCATCCTTCAGCCTCCTCAGGATCCTCATTCATGGAGCCCTCTGTTCTCTTGGTGTCTACATGCAGAACCCCCTTTTGTAGATGTTTCCCTCTCTGCCCACCTTAGAGTACAGCCACAGTCAGCTGCTTCGGTTTTTTTCTTGCCCTTTCCCTAGCAACCTTGATCCTTTGTCCTTTGGTTACCCCTGCACGGTGCAGAACCACCTTCCAGTGCACCAGCCTCTCACCACCTCTGTACATGTACCCAGTCTGATGAGCACTGCCATGAGGTTCACGTAGCAGGCAGATTGGGACTGCTACACATCCACAGGCACCAAACCCAACTGGGGTCCCACAGTCCTATTATATGGAGTCAGCCTGCATTCACTCACCACAAGGGCTCTACTTCTATTTATTTTTTATTTTTAATTTTAATTTTTTAGAGACAAAGTCTCACTCTGTCACTCAGGCTGGAGTGCAGTGGTGCAGTCTTGGTTCACTGCAGCCTCGACCTCTTGGGCTCAGGTGATCCACCCACCTCAGCCTCTCAAAGTGCTGGGATTACAAGTGTGAGCCACCATGCCTGTCTGAAGCAACATTTTTGTAAGGTTGTTATCAGGTGTAATAGTGAGCGGAGCCACTCCCACTTCCACCTCTTGAATCTAGGCCCCAAATGGAGGAGATAACACCATATAATCATCTCTGATTAAAAGCCTAGGCTGCATCTTATAAGAAAGAACCCCACCCTTTTGAGGACATTGTCTTGCAATTGGTGCTATAACCAAGTTGTCAGTAAATTTAGGTCAGCTGCTTGTGAGTGATGGGGTATAGGGTAAGGCCAGTTGATCCCATGGCTGTGAGCCCACTGCTACCTTTCTTTGCTATGAAATGAGGTCCTTGATTAGCTGCAGTGCTTTGCAGAATGCCACAATGCTGGATAGAGCATTCTGTAAATCCACAGATGGTGGGTGCTGGAAAACACATTGCAGACAGGAAAGGCAAATCCACATTCAGAATATGTATCTGTTCCAGTGGGGATAAGTCATTGCCCTCTCTGAAATGGAAGAGACCTAATATAATCAACTTGTAGGCTGGTTCCTCTGGGAATGGTGCCATATTGGGGTCACGTATTGTCTTTGCTATTGGCAGCATTACGTGGATTGGGAGGCTTCTAAGACAGCTACCCCAAGTTAGGTTAGCAGGGCTTTCAAGGAAAAGCTAGTCTCCTTGGAGACAGGAAGGCTTCCCTCTGGTAAGGGAAGCTCAGAATGACCTGGGAGTTCAAGATTGTCAGTTTCATGTGGATCTAACCAGATATCCCTCTTCCAAGTTTCAGGATCTCATTGTTTCCTATCAGTACCCTAATTTTCACATGAGAAATGGTGTGTTGGGGGAATTCAGCTGTTGTAATTCAACAACTCACACAAATTTGTGTTTGATTTTCAGCAGTAGCAGCTATGTGGCTACAAGGAATAAGATTCTTTTTTTTTTTTTTTTTGAGGCGGAGTTTTGCTCTTATTGTCCAGACTGTAGTGCAATGGCACGATTTTGGCTCACTGCAACCTCTGCCTCCTGGGTTCAAGCGATTCTTTTGTGTCAGCCTCCTGAGTAGCTGGGATTACAGGCATGCGCCACCACGCCCAGCTAATTTTGTATTTTTAGTAAAGACAGGTTTCTCCATGTTGGCCAGGCTGGTCTTGAACTCCTGACCTCAGGTGATCTGCCCGCCTCTGCCTCCCAAAACGCTGAGATTACAGATGTGAGCTACTGCACCCGGTTGAAATAAGATTTTTTTTGGGGGGGGTGGGTGCTGTTAGAGAAGACTTCTGCTTCTCAGAACATGACTCAAGCTGAGTGTTAACAGACCTGAGATCACTTTCTCTTTGTAAATGTTCAAGTGCACTCAAAACAATCCATCCCATGCCACCATCTATAAAGTCATCATTACTGCCACACTGGCAAATATAGAAGTCACTCCTACAGCACATGTTTCAGTTACCATTTCACCACAGTAAACTGCAGGCTTGATGAATTGTGATGCAAGTGCATACAGTGGGTTATAGCATCAGTTTTCCATTGACAGAGCTCAACACCAAGCCAGTTCCGAAATCCCATCTTTAGGGGGTCTATCTTCTGGGACTATTCCTTCTATACCAAGTCTGTACCAGTCTGGGTCCAGTCAGAAGACTTAACATGGAAAGTTTAATATAAAGAATTATTGGCCTGGTGTGGGGGCTCATGCCTGTAATCCCAACACTTGGGGATACCAATGCTGGTGGGTCAGCTGGGGTCAGGAGTTCGAGACCAGCCTGGCCAACATGGCAAAACCCCATCTCTAATAAAAATACAAAAAATTAGCCAGGCGTGGTGGCAGGCGCCTGTAATCCCCAGCTACTTGGGAGGATGAGGCAGGAGAACTCCTTGAACCTTGGAGGCAGAGGTTGCAGTGAGCCCAGATCGTGCCACTGCACTCCAGCCTGGGCAACAAGAGCGAAACTCTGTCTCAAAAAACAAAACAAAACAAAAAGGCCGGATGCAGTGGCTCATGCCTGTAATCCCAGCACTTTGAGAGGCCGAGGTGAGCAGATCATGAGGTCAAGAAATCGAGACTATCTGGCCAACGTGGTGAAACCCCATCTCTGATAAAAATACAAAAATTATCTGGGTGTGGTGGTGTGCACCTGTAGTTCCAGCTACTTGGGAGGCTGAGGCAGGAGAATCGCTTGAACCTGGGAGGTGGAGGTTGCAGTTAGCCGAGATTTTGCCACTGCACTCCAGCCTGGCAACAGAGTGAGACGCCATCTCCAAAGAAAAGAAAAAGAAAAAGAAAAAAATTATTTAACTGTGATAAAGGAGTATATGATATGGTTGGACATGGTAGCTCACGCCTGTAATCCCAATACTTTGGGAGGCCGTGGCAGGCAGATCACACAAGCCCAGGAGTTTGAGACCAGCCTGGGCAACATGGTGAAACCCCATCTCTACAAAAAAAAAACAAAAAAAACAGCTGGGCATGGTGGTGCACACTTGTAGTCCCAGCTACTCAGGAGGCTGAGGTGGGAGAGTCACCTGAGCCCTGGGAGGTCATGGCTACAGTGAGCCAATCACACCACTGCACTGTAGCTGGGCGATAGAGTAAGACTGTCAAAAAAAAAAAAAAAAAAGAAAAAGAATATGAGATATAAGAAAATTTTATGATAGCCTGGGGCCAAGGAAGAGTACCCAAGGAATGACAAACTTGGAAGAGGGAGCCTGTCTTCAGGCTAGGGTTCAGACCTCGTTGGAAAAATACAGTTGCAGCCCACTGGATGGCAGAGAAGTTGGTTTGCCCAGGTTGGAGCTGGTCTATAATATCAGACAAGCAAGAAGCAACCCTCTGAGGCCACAAGGGATGTAAAGACGTAGGCAAGCTGCAACTCTCAGCCTGGGGTGTTAGGTGGACGGTGTGAATGGGAGTGCTGGTGCAGGCAGGAGGCCTGCAACACACAGTGTCAATATGGCAAGGTAGGCCGGGCATGGTGGCTCACGCCTGTAATCCTAACACTTTGGGAGGCCGAGGTGGGCAGATCACCTGAGGTTGGGGGTTCGAGATCAGCCTGACCAACGTGGAGAAACCCCGTCTCTACTAACGATACCAGTTTGAGACCAGCCTGGCCAACATGGTGAAACCCCATCTCTACTAAAACTACAAAATTAGCTGGGCATGGTGGTGCGTGCCTGTAATCCCAGCTACTTGGGAGGCTGAGGCAGGAGAATTGCTGGAACCTGGGAGGCAGAGGTTGCAGTGAGCCGGTATTGCTCCATTGCACTCCAGCCTGGGCAACAAGAGCAAAACTCCGTCTCAAAAAAAAAAAACAAAAAACACACAGGCTGGGCGAGGTGGCTCACACCTGTAATCCCAACACTTTGGGAAGCCGAGGCAGGCAGATCACAAGGTCAGGAGATCGAGACCATCCTGGCTAACACGGTGAAACCCCGTCTCTACTAAAAATACAAAAAAAATTAGCTGGGCGTGATGGCAGGCTCCTGTAGTCTCAGCTACTCAGGAGGCTGAGGTAGGAGGATGGCGTGAAGTCGGGAGGCGGAGCTTGCAGGAGCCGAGATCGTGCCACTGTACTCCAGCCTGGGCGACAGAGCGAGACGCTGTCTCAAAAAACCTGTGGCTGGGCATACAGGTGTGCAGAGGACATTGGTGGAAACACTAGTGCACAGGCAGGATGCAGCCAGTGGCCAGGCATCTTGGTATAGAGAGGAAGTGGGGACCTGGTGTGGGCAGGAAGCCTGGAGTGCAGCGTCTGTCCAGACAGCTTGAGAAGGTGATCCGGAAAGTGCTGCGATGTTGCTGAGGGACCATGCTTTGCGGATGTGTGGCTGGGGCGGAGCAGTACTAGATATTCTCACACCCTGACTGCTGGCTGACCACCAACCCTGGAAGCACAGGAGGGCCCCTTCCTAGTGCAGTGTCCTTCCAGCGCCCTCTGCTGAGAAAGCTTAACATGCTCACTATAAAGGAGAAATGTTTAAAGGAATGCTGACCATTACCACAGAACATGGGTTAAAGGGTGAATTTGGAGCTGAGAGGCAATGCGTTGATAACTGGCATGCTAGATTTGTATGAATATCTATTTTCCTATCAGATGTTTTTTCACCCAATGATTTTAGTTATAGAATGTCAAAAGAAATGCATATGGGTTGTAAATTCAAATAATGCCAAAGTATATACAGACATGCTTTGGAGATATTATGGGTTCAGTTCCAGACTACAACAATATAATGAATATTGCAAAACACGTCACATGAATTTTTTTGGTTTCCCAGTCCATATAAAAGTTTTATGTTTACAGTATACTGTAGTATATTAGGTGTGCAATAGCATTATGTCTAAACAAAAGTACGTAACTTAAAAATACTTTATTGCTAAAATATGCTAGTGATTATCAGAGTCTTAAGCAACGTGTAGTATTTGTGCTGGTGGAGGGTCTTGCCTCAGTGATGATGACTACTAATTAATCTGAGTTGTGGTTGCTGAAGGTTAGGGTGGCTATCATAATTTCTTAAAACAACAATGAAGTTGCCACAACAGTGGGCTCTTCCTTTCATGAAAGATTTCTCAGTAGCATGCAATGCTGTCTGATAGCATTTTATCCAAAATAGAACTTTCAAAATTGGAGTTAATCCTTTCAAACCACGCCGCTGCTTTATTAACTAAGTATATGTAATACTCCGAATCCTTTGTTGTCATTTCAACAGTGTTCACAATAGTAGATGCCATCTCAAGAAACCACTTTCAGCCGGGCATGGTGGCTCACACTTGTAGTCCCAGCACTTTAGGAGGCCAAGGTGGGCAGAGCACTTGAGGCCAGGAGTTCAAAACCAGCCTGGCCAACATGGTGAAACCGTGTCTCTACTAAAAATACAAAAATTAGCTGGGTGTGGTGCTGGGTGCCTGTAATCCCAGCTACAGGAAGCCTAGGCAGGAGAATTGCTTGAACCTGGGAAGCAGACGTTGCAGTGAGCCGAGATCGTGCCACTGCACTCCAGCCTGGGTGACAGAGCAAGACTCTGTCTCAAAACAAACAAACAACAACAAAAAAAAAAAACCCACTTTCTTTGCTCATCCATAAGAAGCAAATCCTTATTTGTTCAAGTGCTGAGATTGAAGCAATTCAGTCACATCTTCAGGCCTCACTTCTAATTCTGATTCTCTTGCTATTTCCACTGCATCTGCAGAGACTCCTACTGAAGTCTTGAACCCCTCAAAGTCATCCATGAGGATTGGAATCAACTTCTTCCAAACTCCTGTTAATTTTGATATTTTGACCTCCTCTCATGAATCATAAGAGTATTTTATTTTTATTTTTTTTATTTTTTGGGACGAAGTCTCATTCTGTCACCCAGGCTGGAGTGCAGTGGCATGATCTCGGCTCACTGCAACCTCCGTCTCCCGGGTTCAAGCGATTCTCCTGCCTCAGCTTACTGATTAGCTGGGATTACAGGCACCCGCCACCACACCTGGCTAATTTTTATATTTTTAGTAGAGACAGGGTTTCACCGTGTTGGCCAGGCTGGTCTTGAACTCCTGACCTCAGGCGATCTGCCTGCCTCAGCCTCCCAAAATGCAGGGATTACAGGTGTGAGCCACCGTGCCCAGCCATGAATCATAAGTGTTCTTAATGGCATCTACAATGGTGACTCCTTTCCAGCTGAGATTGCACCACTGAAAACCTTTCCAGGCTTTCAGTTTTGTCCAGATCCATCAGAGAAATTACTAGCTATGGCAGCTATAGCCTTATAAAATGTATTTCTAGGCCAAGCATGGTCGTGCACACCTGTAAGACCAGCACTTTGGGAGGCCAAGGTATAAGAATCACTTGAGGCCAGGATTTCAAGACCAGCCTGGCAACAGAGACCCCGTCTCTACACACACACACACACACACACACACAAATTTTTTAGCCAAGTGCACTAGCATGCGCCAGTAGTCCCAGCTACTCAGGAGGCTGAGGTTGGAGCATCACTTGAGTCCAGGAGTTTGAGGCTTCAAGGCTACAGTGAGCCATGATCACATCACTGCACTCCATCCTGGGCAACAGAGCAAGACAATGTCTTTCTAAAAACAAAACAAAACAAAACAAAAAAAACGAGAGAGAGAAAGAAAAAAATGTATTTCTTATATAAGACTTGAAAATTGAGGCCGGGCGTGGTGGCTCACATCTGTAATCCCAACACTTTGGGAGGCTGAGGCAGGCGAATCACTTGAGGTCAGGAGTTCGAGACCAGCCTGGCCAACACGGTGAAACCCTGTCTCTACTAAAGAAATAGAAAAATTAGCTGGGCATGGTGGTGCATGCCTGTAGTCCCAGCTACTCAGGAGGCCGAGGCAGGATAATTGCTTGAACCCGGGAGGTGGAGGTTGCGTTGAGCTGAGATTGCACCATTGCACTCCAGCCTGGGCAACAGAGTGAGACTCCATCTCAAAAAAAAAAAAGAAAGAAAGAAAAAGAAAATTGAAATCACTCTTTCCTTGATCCATGAGCTGCACAATGGATGTTGTGTTAGAAGGCATAAAGACAACATTAATCTCCTTGTACATCTCCATCAGAGTTTTTGGGGGACCAGATACGTTGTCAATGAGCAGTAATTTTTTTTTTTTTTTTTTGAGATGGAATCTCGCTGTGTCACCCAGGCTGGAGTGCAGTGGTGCAATCTCGGCTCACCGCAACCTCCGCCTCCTGGGTTCAAGTGACTCCTCTGCCTCAATCTCCCGAGTAGCTGGGACCACAGGCGCACTCCACCATGCCCGGCTAATTTTTGTATTTTTAGTAGAGGCGGGGTTTCACCATATTGGCCAGGCTGGTCTCAACTCCTGACCTTGTGAACTGCCTGCCTCGGCCTTCCAAAGTGCTGGGATTACAGGCATGAACCACCGCGCCTGGCCAATGAGCAGTAATGTTTTTAAAGGAATCTTGTTTTTTTTTTTTTGAGCAGTGGGTCTCAGCAGTGGGCTTAAAACGTTTAGTAAACCATGCTGTAAACAATGTGCTGTCATCTAGGCTTTGTTATCCCGTTTCTAGAGCACAGATAGAGTAGATTTAGCATAATTCTTAAGGGTCCTAGGATTTTCAGAATGGTAAATGAGCACTGTTCTCAACTTAAAGTCACTAGCTGCATTAGGCCCCAACAAGAGTGTCAGCCCTGTCCTTACACGCTTTGAAGCCAGGTGTTGACTTCTTTCTAGCTATGAAAGGTCTAGATGGCATCTTCTTCCAATATAAGACTGTTTTGTCTACATTGAAAACCTGTTGTTTAGCCAACCACCTTTGTCAATGATCTTCGCTAGATCTTCTGGATAACTTGCTGCAGCTTCTTTGTCAGCACTTGCTGCTTTACCTTGTGCTTTTACATTACAGAGATGGCTTTTTCCCTTAAACCTCATGAACAAACCTCTGCTAATTTCAAACTTCTGCAGCTTCCTCACCTGTCTCAGCCTTTATAGAATTTAAAGAGTTAGGGCCTTGCTCTGAATTAGGCTTTGGCCTAAGGGAATGTTGTGATCTTATACATAGTTCACTAAAACTTTCTCCTTACCCGCAAAAAGGCTACTTTGCTTTCTTATCATTCCTGTATTCACTGGAGTAGCACTTTTAATTTCCTTCAAGAACTTTTCCTTTGCATTCACAAGTTGGCTAACTGGCACACGAGGCCTAGCTTTTGTCCTGTCTTGGCTTTCAACGTGCCTTCCTCACTAAGGTTAGTCGTTTCTAGCTTTTGATTTAAAGTGAGAGATTTGCCACTCTTCTTTCACTTGAACAGTTAGAGGGTTTTTAATTAGCCTAATTTCTACACTGTGTGTCTCAGGGAATAGGAAGGCCTGAAGAGAGAGAGAGAGAGAGACGATCGGGGAACGGCTCGTTGGTGGAGCAGTCAGAACACATACAACATTTATCCGTTAAGCTCACCATCATGTATGGGTGCAGTTTGTGGCACCCCAAAACAATTATAGTAGTAACATCACTGATCACAGATCACCATATCAGATATAATAATAATGAAAAAGTTTGGAATATTGCGAGAATTACCAAATTGTGACACAGAGACATGAAGTGAGCACATGCAGTTGGAAAAATGACGCTGATAGATTTGCTTGACTCAGTGTTGCCACAAACCTTCAATTTGTAAAAAGTACAGTAAAGCAAAGTGCAACAAAATGATGTATGCTTGTAGTATAAAAGTGGACAGCTCCGCAGGTGTCTACCCCATCTACCACCCTCCCCAAAGGTAATCACTGTGTCTGGTTTAGTATGGAAGTCTCTTGAGCATTTTTCTGTATATTAACACAGAAGTAAAATAATGAAATAGCATTTATTGTGGTTCTTCCTATATGGCCCATAGTCTCGTTTCAAGTATCAATTTCCACCAATTTGAAATGCTAGCTTTATTATTTGCTCAATTCTGAGATCTTTTCCTAGACGCCATCCTCTTCCATTGATCTATTTGCACATTCCTGTGCCAAAATAATAGTTTTAATTAATTTTATATAGTGTGTGTATCTGGTATACATCTGTTCTCATATTTTCAAAATGTTCTTAAATATTTTGTGGTATTTCCTCTTTCAGATGATCTTTTTCCCCTATATGAACTTTTTTTTCTTTTTCTTTTTCTTTTTTTTTTTTTTTGAGACAGAGTCTCCCTCAGTCGCCCAAGCTGGAGTGCAGTGGCACAATTTTGGCTCACTGCAACCCCTGCCTCCCAGGTTCAAGCAATTCTCATGCCTCAGCCTCCTGACTAGCTGGGATTTCAGGCATGCGCCACCATGCCCAGCTAATTTTGTATTTTTAGTAGAGATGGGGTTTCACCATGTTGGCCATGCTGGTCTCGAACTCCTGACCTCAGGTGATCTTCCCACCTTGGCCTCCGAAAGTGCTGGGATTATAGGCGTGAGCCACTGCGCCCAGCCCCCCATTTGAACTTCAGAATCAGTTTGTGCATTACCCTTCCACTGGCCAGATAATTGGCAGAAGGTGTTTATTGGAATTCCTGTACATTTATAGATCATTTTGGATATTGCTCCATGTTTTCTATATCCTTGGAAAATATTTAATTTTGTAAAATTTTCATTAGATGTATCATTTGATATCTTACAGTTTTATCGCCATAATTATTAGGATCTCTTAAAAGTTGTATTTCTTTCTTTTTTTTTTTTTTGAGACGGAGTCTCACTCTGTCGCCCAGGCAGCTGGAGTGCAGTGGCACAATCTTGGCTCACTGCAACCTCTGCCTCCTGGGTTCAAGTGATTCTCCTGCCTTAGCCTTCTGAGTAGCTGGGATTACAGGCACCCACAACCACACCTGGCTAATTTTTGCATTTTTATTTTAATTTTATTTATTTGTTTATTTATTTATTTGTTGAGATAGAGTTTTGCTCTTGCTCCCCAGGCTGGAGTGCAGTGGCATGATCCTGGCTCACTGTAACTTCTGCCTCCTGGGCTCAAGCAATTCTCCTGCCTCAGCCTCCCGAGTAGCTGGGATTACAGGTGCCCACCACCACGCCTGGCTAATTTTTGTATTTTTAGTAGAGACAGGGTTTCACCGTGTTGGCTAGACTGGCCTCATACTCCTGACTTCAAGTGATCTGCCCACCTCACCTCAAAAAGTTGTATTTCCAATCGATTCTTGCTATGGTATGAAAATTTCTTGGTATAGAAAATAGATTGATTTTTGTTGATCACCCTATGCCCTCTGTGAGAGTCTCGTATTCATTGTTCCCTAGACTACTTTGGGTTTTTTTTTTTTGAGACAGGGTCTCACTTTGTCACCCAGGCTGGAGTGCAGTGATGCTGTCTTGGCTCACTGCAGCCTCAACCTCCCAGGTTCAAGCGATCCTCCTGCCTCAGCCCCCCAAGTAGCTGGCATGCTACTTGTAACTACAGGCATGTGCCATCACATGCAGCTAATTTTTGTATTTTTTGTAAAGACAGGGTTTCTCCATGTTGCCCAGGCCAGTCTCGGTCCACTGAGCTCAAGCAGTCTGCCTGCTTCGGCCCCCTAAAGTGCTCAGATTACAGGCATGAGCCACCTCACTCCTTACTTTGGATTTTCTAAGTAGACAATCACATTATTTGCAAATAGAAACAACTCTGCTCCTTCATCAAAATATAAACATCTCTTTATTTTTTTTTCTTAAATTATGTTGGCTAGAACCACAACAAGGATGTCAAATAGTAGGTAATGATGGGCATATTCCTGATCATTAATGAGAAGGTCCCTGAAATGATACCGGCTGAAATGCCCTTCTTAAACACTGTCTTCTCTTGGTGTCCTGGAATAGTGCCCATTCCTTCTTAGTCCCTTTTGCTACCCCTTTTCCCCCACTCTTGAGGTATGATGACATACCTCAAGCTCCCTACTCCAACTTCCCATGCAGCACACACTCAGTGATCCATGAGCATTTCACATTGCAATCATCTCATGCCTGGTTGTGATTTGTGATTTGGTTGCCTGCCATAAGCCAAGCATTGGCAGATTAACATGCCCAATCCAGGACGACTCCCAGCACCATCTCACTGAAAAGCTCCTCTTGGATTTCTTTCAGGCACTGCTAACTCAGTACCTCTAAAACTAAGTTCATCATCAATAAGCATAGAGCTGAACCCCTGGGTATAAAGCCCACACCCTGATTCATTAAGAACCAGAAATAGGCCAGGCACTGCAGGTCACATCTGTAATACCAGCACTTTGGAGGCCAGGGTAGGAGGATTGCTTGAGCCCAGGAGTTTGAGACCAGCCTGGGCAACATGGGGAGACTCCATCTCTACAAAAAATACAGAAATTAGCCAGGTGTGGTAGTGCACCCTGGAGTTCCAGCTACCCAGGAGGCTGAGATGGGAAGATCACTTGAGCCTGAAGCTGCAAAGAGCCATGACTGTGACACTGCACCTCAGCCTGGGCAACACACTGAGACCCTCTCTCAAAAAAGAAGGACTAGAAATAGAAGAAAGGCTTTCTTCTCTGAGAGACCTTTTCTGAGAGTCTCATTTCCTGCTAAAGCTGGCCTGAGCCAGCCACTTCACTTTAGTTCTATCTCAGTTTGTGCCTTGGATGTTGGCCACGCAGCCTGCCTGGCTCAAGAGCTCCTGCCATCCTTGGACACTTGCCCCAAGAACCACATCCTTCCCTGCCAACACCCTCTGCTCCCTTGCCTGCTGTCCCTAGACATGCATGTGGTCAGTTCACCCAACTTTCTGGTCATCACCCTCCTCCCTCCCTCTGGGGGTAGAGAGTGGAGACTTCCTCTACAGCCTTGTGGAAGACAAATGGAGGCTTTAGGAATTCCTCTGGGGTTCACTCCATACGGATGCAGGGTAATGAGGCTAATTTCTGCTCATCTCTGTGTGGGCAGGAAATATGAGCTGTACAGCATGGACTGGGACCTGAAGGAGGAACTCAGGGATTGCCTGGTGGCTGCTGCACCCTATGGGGGCCCCATTGGTATGTTGCCCCTCCACCACCACCTGCTCTGGGACCCTGGGATGAACTCAAGGTCCTTGATTCCTGGGGCCCTGCTGTCAGGTTGTTCTTGTTGCCACCCCCCACTCACCCTGCTGAGATGCTTTTACTTCTGGTTTTTATAGGCCTGCTTCACATGGGGTGGGCCTGGGGAGCCAGGATGTGAGGCCTGCTTCACATGGGGTGGGCCTAGGGAGCTAGGACAGAAGGTCTCTTCTCAAACTGCAGCACTGCTGAGGAACCCCTGGCGGAAGGAGAAAGCTGCTAGTGTGAGGCCAGTGCTCGATATATACTCTGCTTCCGGCATGCCTCTGGCCAGCCTGCTGGTGAGCACTTCTGATGGTCCCTGGGGCTCAGGGCTGGACAGGGTTTCCTCACCTGAGGACAGCCTTAGGAACCTCTCTCCCCTGCAGTGGAAGAGTGGACCCGTGGTGTCCCTGGGCTGGTCAGCTGAGGAGGAGCTGCTCTGTGTGCAGGAAGATGGTGCTGTACTGGTTTATGGGCTTCATGGTGACTTCCGGAGACACTTCAGCATGGGCAATGTAGGGGTCACAGAGGGCTGGGGACGCGGGGTAGAGTTTATGACCCTGTGGCTCCCTTAACCCATGGCCCCCTTTCCTCAGGAAGTGCTCCAGAACCGGGTTCTGGATGCCCGGATCTTTCACACTGAGTTTGGTTCCGGAGTGGCCATCCTCACAGGGGCCCACCGCTTCACCCTCAGTGCCAATGTGGGTGACCTCAAACTCCGCCGGATGCCAGAGGTGCCAGGTAAGCCCTGACACCGCTGAGATAGCCAAGCAGTACCCACAGATGTGCCTCTAGCCTGTGAGACCCATAAAAACAGAAGCTGTGGCTAGAGACCCATAGAAACAGAAACGGTGGGCCTTGGTCATCCTAACACTGTCCTTTTCCCTGGCCATAGGTCTGCAAAGTGCACCCTCCTGCTGGACTGTGCTGTGCCAGGACCGAGTGGCACACATTCTTCTGGCTGTGGGGCCTGACCTTTACCTCTTGGACCATGCAGCCTGCTCCGCAGTGGTAAGGGCCCTGAGTGGGAATGAAGTGGACGGGCTGGGTTAGGCAATAGGGAGGTTCTGAAAAGTCAGTATGTATCTGTCCCACCCCTACCCTGGCTCTGCCTCAGACGCCCCCTGGCCTGGCCCCAGGAGTAAGCAGCTTCCTACAGATGGCTGTCTCCTTCACCTACCGACACCTGGCACTCTTCACAGACACAGGCTACATCTGGATGGGGACAGCATCACTCAAGGTATGATCCTGGGGCAACACAGGGGTACTGTGCCTTGTCCAGGGTACAAGATCTTTTGGTGATGCGGGAGGGCTTTTCGACTAGAATGGTGACTGCTGGGACAGGGCCATGACATTGCCCACACCATTTCAGGAGAAGCTATGTGAGTTCAACTGCAACATCCGGGCACCTCCAAAGCAGATGGTCTGGTAAGGATGGGGGTGTTATTGCTGGGGGTGTGGGTGAGACATAGCTTGCTTCCTGGGACAATCAGTTCCTTGATTCGTCATGTCTACTGGCCAAGCCTAGTGGAGTTTGGATCTTACCTTCTCTGCCATTGCACACTTGAAGGAAACCATTGTCCTCTGTGGGCCACAGCTGCCTTGAGCTGAGAGCTCAGGGATAAGAGGGAAGTGGAGAGGTCAGTGTACAGTCAGTGATGCAAGTGTATACAGGCTGTCCCGAGACAAAGGATTATGAGCAGCCATGTGGGAGACATGGCCATGGGACAGTGTCTAGCCAGTGTGTATATGCTGCTCACAGGTGCAGCCGTCCTCGTAGCAAGGAGAGGGCCGTGGTGGTGGCCTGGGAAAGGCGGCTGATGGTGGTGGGCGATGCACCCGAGAGCATCCAGTATCCTTGGAGGGCTGCCTGTGTGTGGAGAGAGGGGAGGGGAGGGTTCACCTGCCCCGTCCCATCTGTAGGTGCTCTTAGGAGCCTTAACCAAGCTCAGGTTTGTGCTGGATGAGGACTCCTACCTGGTGCCTGAGCTCGATGGGGTCCGCATCTTCTCCCGCAGCACCCACGAGTTCCTGCATGAGGTTCCAGGTGAGGCCTTCACAAGGGCACCACATAACCCAAGGTGGGGACTCCTCGGCACCCCAGCTGCCCTGGGCCAGTGCCACAGAGCAGGAATAGGGTGTTGAGGCAGGGCTGAGGGTTTCCCTGCCTTTCTCCCTCACTCACCAACTCCCTTCCCCAGCGGCCAGCGAGGAAATCTTCAAAATTGCCTCAATGGCCCCCGGGGCGCTGCTCCTGGAGGCTCAGAAGGAGTATGAGGTAAAGCCCTGGGCTTCTCTCCCAGTCCCAGAATGGTTCCTCCTGCCCCTGCGTGGGCATGTGTGAGCATAGCCAGGTGCCACCTGTCAAGAGAGGGGTCCAGGCAGGACACTGGTCTGGGCTGGGGAGGGCTGGCTCATGTAAACTGAAGAGACACTATGTCCTCCATGTGGTGTGATAGGGACGGGCAGAGCATCCCCACTATCCCCACCCAGTCTGGGTTACTATTGGGAGGAGTTCTCAAGGCCCCCCTAAAGGCAGCTGTGGGCTGATACGAGATGATGTCTGTGGGCACCTCAGGTGGATTGAGTGGGCTGAGGGAGTTGGGGCTCCAGCCTGTGCAGCTCCTCCAACCCAGCTTATTTGAACCACAACCCAGAATGGTTAGGGGCCAGATGTGGGAGTGTTCTCTGTCATGATGCCCTGGCTCTGGACTGCTCCCCACCAGAAAGAGAGCCAGAAGGCGGACGAGTACCTGCGGGAGATCCAGGAGCTGGGCCAGCTGACCCAGGCCGTGCAGCAGTGCATTGAGGCTGCAGGACATGAGCACCAGCCAGACATGCAGAAGAGTCTGCTCAGGGTTGGCCTGGATGGCCGGGCCGGGGAGGGTGGGGCTGGGAGGGGGTGGGATGGGCAGCAGGGAAGCTCTCTCCTATCGCCCTCTGGCTCTTCTCAGGCCGCCTCCTTCGGAAAGTGTTTCCTGGACAGATTTCCACCCGACAGCTTCGTGCACATGTGTCAGGACCTGCGTGTGCTCAATGCTGTTCGGGACTATCACATCGGGATCCCGCTCACCTATAGCCAGTATCCCTGTGCACGCCAGAAGGGTACCCTACAGCCAGGGGTGGCAGGGGAAGGGGCTGGAGATGCGTCTGCAGGTACCTGGCAAGCGGGGCTTATTCTCCAACTGGATCCTTAACCGAGGAAAATACAGATATAAGCAGCTCACCATCCAGGTGCTGCTGGACAGGTAGGGTAAGCCCAAGGGTGCAGTGAGCGGGCTGTCAGGGGGGTGGGCATTACAGCCTTGGGTGGGGTCTTATGGTCACTGCTCCTGACCTATCTAGGATGTGGGAGGCCTGATGTGCAGGCTGAGGCCACTCTGCTCCCTTTCTCCTCCACCTCACTCCTTGTATCCTTTACCCACCGGGTCTACCAGGCTCGTGTTGCGGAGACTTTACCCCCTGGCCATCCAGATATGCGAGTACTTGCGCCTTCCTGAAGTACAGGGCGTCAGCAGGATCCTGGCCCACTGGGCCTGCTACAAGGCAAGGATGTGGGATGGGGTCCAAGGGCATTTAGAGGATTCCAGGCCCTGGTGAGGTGGAGGAAATAGAAAGTGTAGAACTGCGCTGGGCACGGTGGCTCATGCCTGTAATCCCAACACTTTGGGAGGCTGAGGCGGGCGAATCACCTGAGGTCAGGTATTCGAGACTAGCCTGGCTAACATGGTGAAACCCCGTCTCTACTAAAAATACAAAATTAGCCGGGCACGGTGGCGCATGCCTGTAATCCCAGCTACCCGGGAGGCTGAGGCAGGAGAATTGCTTTCACCTGGGAGGCAGAGGTTGCAGTGAGCTGAGATTGCACTGCTGCACTCCAGCCTGGGCGACAGAGCAAGACTCTGTCTCAAAAAAAAAGAAAGAAGTGGCGGGGGCGGAGGAGGAGGGAAAGAGAGAGAAAGAAGAAAGAGAGAAAGAAAGAAAGAAGAAGGAAGGGAGGGAGGAAGGGAACTGAAGGGGTGGGTCCTAAGGGCTTGCAGGAGTGGAGAGTGAGGAATGGCATCCAGATGTTTGTGACACCCCGCATCCCTTGCAGGTGCAACAGAAGGATGTCTCAGATGAGGATGTGGCTCGAGCCATTAACCAGAAGCTGGGGGACACGCCTGGTGTCTCTTACTCCGACATTGCTGCACGAGCCTATGGTTGTGGCCGCACGGAGCTGGCCATCAAGGTGTGGGTGCCCAGCCCTCCACAGACACTCTGATGTGGTTGTTCAGGGCCCCCATGCCAGCTCCTTCTCTCTGTGCCTTCCTTCTCACCTCACAGCTGCTGGAGTATGAGCCACGCTCAGGGGAGCAGGTACCCCTTCTCCTAAAGATGAAGAGGAGCAAACTGGCACTAAGCAAGGCCATCGAGAGCGGGGACACTGACCTGGGTGAGGGCAAGGCTGGGGGGCCCCTGGGCTAAGTGGGAGCCTGGCTGGAATTCCCACTCCACCTTACTCTCCTGCAGTGTTCACGGTGTTGCTGCACCTGAAGAACGAGCTGAACCGAGGAGATTTTTTCATGACCCTTCGGAATCAGCCCATGGCCCTCAGTTTGTACCGACAGGTGTGTGTAGTGGGCAGGGTTGTGGTGTAGCCTTCTGAGCACTTGAGTTGGCCTTGCTGACTGATTGCCTGCCTGTGGCCCCAGTTCTGTAAGCATCAGGAGCTAGAGACGCTGAAGGACCTTTACAATCAGGATGACAATCACCAGGAATTGGGCAGCTTCCACATCCGAGCCAGCTATGCTGCAGAAGAGGTCTGAGATCCATGGGGCGTGTGGGGCGTGTGGGGCATGTGGGCTGGGGCTGTTGGTCCGGTTCCTTCAGGAATCTAGGCCTTCGTGTTGGGTGCACACTCCATCTGGTCCTCACTGTGAGGGAGACTCTGACGTGAGGCCAGGATGGGGGTTAGTGTCAGAGGAGCTAGCCATCCCTCTAGGACATCAGAGTGGTGCACCTAGCAGGCAAGGCTGACCCTGGCGACCCTGGGCACAGGGATGGGGGAGAAGACTGTAGCCTGGGTGAGGAGGGCGAGGGTCCTGCATGCTGTGAGTTCAGGCCTTCCTTCTTGTCTTTATAGCGTATTGAGGGGCGAGTAGCAGCTCTGCAGACAGCCGCCGATGCCTTCTACAAGGCCAAGAATGAGTTTGCAGCCAAGGTTTGGCCCACCTTTTTCCAAGAGCCTCCTCGTCTCCTGGTCTTCCCTCCTGGTCCCTCATCCCCATCATGCCTCATTATCCGGGTCCCCAGGCTACAGAGGATCAAATGCGGCTCCTACGGCTGCAGCGGCGCCTAGAAGACGAGCTGGGGGGCCAGTTCCTAGACCTGTCTCTACATGACACAGTTACCACCCTCATTCTTGGCGGTCACAACAAGCGTGCAGAGCAGCTGGCACGTGACTTCCGCATCCCTGACAAGAGGTAGGTGAGGGCCCAGGCTGCATGTGGGTCCCAGGACCACCTGCCTCTCCTGCAACACCTCCAAGCCCAGCTTTCCTGCAGGCTCTGGTGGCTGAAGCTGACTGCCCTGGCAGATTTGGAAGATTGGGAAGAGCTAGAGAAGTTTTCCAAGAGCAAGAAATCACCCATTGGCTACCTGGTGAGGCAGGGTCCTCCCTCCAGCCCACTTCCAGTGAGGGTAGTCTTCGGGAGAGAGGGCTAGGCAGGGAGACAGATAGGATGGCCCGTTCATGCTCCTGTTCAGCTGCCCGCATAGTTAGCGAGTGCTTCCTGTATACACATTTGTGGGCAGGCATCATCTGCTGTGTTGGGTGCACTGGAGGATGGGTCCAAGTTTGCCTGCAGATGTTACGGGGAGAGAGAATGAGCTGCTTTCCCCAGGGAGGGCCACAGGGGGCACTATGTGCTAGAGGGAAAGTCTTGTCTGAGGAGGGTGGAGGGGGCACAGGGAGGGTGCATATGGGAGGCAGTGGAGATACTGAGGGCTGTTTTCTGTGGTGGGTAGTTCAGAGGTGTATAGGGCAGGTTTGAGAATGTCAATCACAAGAGAACACAGGAAATGTGAGGGCTGGTGGCAGGAACGCCTGTTGCAAGGGGTAATGGTGGGTGGTAGAGCAGAAGCGTGGAAATAATTGGTCTCAAGTCTCTGACAGAGCTTTGGTTTAGGTGATTTCTGCCCTAAGAATGTTGAGATCACAACTGTCTGTGCATGGGGGTTGGGGGATTATATGTACTGACGGGTGTATACATATAGAATATATATGGACGATGTATGCATTGCGCCTCTGCTCGTAAGAGAGAGGACAGGAGGGCTGTGCATTACCTTCTCCCTCCACCCGCTTCCTCTCCTCCAAGCCTTTTGTGGAGATCTGCATGAAACAACATAACAAATACGAAGCCAAGAAGTATGCTTCCCGCGTGGGTCCCGAGCAGAAGGTCAAGGCTTTGCTTCTTGTTGGGTGCGTCAACTGAGGGCCTGTGGGTGCTGGGTGGCTGAGCTGTGGGCTGGTGAGAGGCAGGGTTTGTGCCCTTGAGCAGCCCCAACACCACCTCCTCTCTTGCTCAAACCACAGCGATGTGGCTCAGGCTGCAGATGTGGCCATCGAACACCGGAATGAGGCTGAGCTGAGCCTCGTATTGTCCCACTGCACGGGAGCCACAGATGGGGCCACAGCTGACAAGATTCAACGGGCCAGGGCACAAGCCCAGAAGAAGTGAGGAGTCCATCCTGTACATCTCAAGCAAGGGGTTCCTCCCCTAGCACCTGGGCTTGGCAGAAGGGCCATAGTTCATCCAGCTCCTCCCCTAGAGCAATGCTGAGGAGCGGGGGCATGGTAGCAGGGCTGTCTGGTTTTAAATAAAGTTGGAACACTTCACAGTGCTTGTCTTACACAGTCCAGCCTAAGCAAAGGCAAGCTCAAGACAGGATCCTCCAGACACCACAGCAAAACTCCATGTGTTCCGTTGTGTTGGGACCGGAGGTGGGGGCTTCTCCAGCCATACTCGCAAGAAACGTGTCCTCTCCACAGTTACCAAGGAAAGCTTTCTCTATCTCACAGCTCCTAGGAAGATTATAGGGAGAGATGGCACAAAACTTAAGCACCAGCTCACCAAGAACATACTGTAAAGCATTCTGTGTGTGTGCGTGTAAACACGCAAGAACCACGCTAAACACTTTTGCTGCCTGTACTTCCTTTATTCCTCGTGACAGCCCTGTGAGGTAACATCACCCCACTTTACAGAAAGGAGATTGAGGACCAGGGAGTTCGATAATAACAAATATGTGGCAAAACAGGGATTTGAAACCCCGGGCCAAGTGCAAGCTGGAACTGGAATCGGGCCCTCTGTGAGAAGGGAGCCTGAGGCAAGGCCCCAATTTGCACTGCAGTGGTGATTGGAGGACTAATGAGAAGTGTGTGGCCTGCGGGCCATAGGGGTCAGGGGGTGGTGGCCTTTGGAACTCTTGCCCACTGAACTGTGGTGAGCAATTCCAAGTTGTCTCTGGGCCAAATAGAGAAGGAGGATGGAAGATTTCAATTCTGCCAAAAAGAACCATGAACACCAGACCCGCAATCAGTAGGAGTACCCGCGGGGCCCTCTGCTCTCTCTATCTAGCCTTCCGTTGGCACTCCAGTGCACCCCCTCTGCTCTCCCTGTCTAGCCCTCCGTTGGCACTCCAGTGCACCCCCTCTGCTCTCCCTGTCTAGCCCTCCGTTGGCACTCCAGTGCACCCCCTCTGCTCTCCCTATCTAGCCTTCCCTTGGCACTCCAGTGCACCTTGGCTTCATGCCCAGGGCCCCACCCAACACTGAGGGCATTGCCTTTTCCTTTGTCGCCCCCACTTTGTCTACAAGGAGGAAACCACAGCCAGAGGGAGTGCAGGCCTCACTGGAGCTTCAGGCCTCTCCCTATTTAACACCCCTAGGGCCGACCATGCTTTTAGAAAGACAGTGAGAGACTCAGGGCCTGAGAAGGTATTTCTTTTTTTCCTTTTCCTACCTGACTTGTAAATGAAAGTTTGTGAAAGTCCTTCAAGGAGATATAAGTCAAATGGTAAAATAACTATCATGCTCGCCATTCATTATGTGGGTCAAGAATTTGGACAGGTTGTAACAGGGATGGTTTGTGTCTGTTTCATAGTGTCTGAGGCATCAGCTGGAAGACTAAAAGGTTGATAGCTAGGGGCTGAAATCATGTGAAAGCTTGCTAACTCACACACTTGGTGAGTGACGCTGGTTCTTCACTGGGACCTTAGCTGGGGTGGTCTGCCAGAACACCTGCAACATGGTGGCTGGGTCCCAAGGACAAGCATCCCAAGAGGGTGCCAGGTAGAATCTGGACTGCCTTCCTAACCTAGATTTGGAAGTTACGTGGTGTCACATCTGCTAGAGTATTTGTCACAGCAGTAATACAGGCCCACCCCACCAATTTCAAGGGGAAATAGACTCCACCTCTTTTTTTTTTTTTTTTTTTTGCGTGGTAGAGATGGGGTCTCGGGGGTCTCCTTATGTTGCCCAAGCTGGTTTTAAACTCCTGAGCTCAAGCAGTCCTCCCTCCTCAGCATCTCAAAGTGCTGGGGTTACAGCATGAACCACTGAACCTGGCCTGGACTCCACCTCCTGATAGGGAGTAGCAAAGTTCTGGAAATACTGTGGCTAGGTTTTGGAATCACAATCTGGCACAGCCCATCAGCTTTCCCTTTTGGAATCAGCAGACAAGAGGAAAGGAAATAATCCCCAATGCTGGGCTCATCATTCTGGGCTTTTTTTTTTTTTTTTTTTTTTTTTTTTTTGTCCCCAGTCTTGGCCCCACAATTCCTCACTGCCCTGGTAGCTCTTTGATGCCTTTAAAAAATGTTTTCCCAGCTTTTCGAGTTCTCAATGAAAAAGGATTGCTATCAAACAACCCAGTTTTCCTCTCTGGAAAGGGAGGCTTGACCAGTGCTTTTAGAATGTACACAATACAAAACCCACATCTCCAAAGTAACATACAGTATATTTACTCATAGGCTATGTAAACAAACACTGTACATATGAAGTTTTAGAAATATGTGAGAAATAACTTTTAACTGATGACAAATGTATATCAACAGTGATTTCAACTTTATAAAAGGTGTGTGTGCATGTAGAGAAGCATTGGAATTGTCTATGGGGAGAGTTGCTTTAAAAAGGCAGTTTTGTATACTTTTTTGTAAAGTTAATCACTGATTTGCCCCCCACCTCCACAGTTTATTATAAAAACTTTCAAACATACAGCCAGGTAGAAATAATTTTACAGTGAACATTTGTGTAACTACCACTGGATTCTACCATTAGCATCTTACTATATCACACATCTGTTCATCTATCCATTCCTCTATGTCAATCCATCGTATTTTTCATATATTTCAAAGTAAGTTGCAGACATCAGTACACCTCCCCCTAAATACTTCAGTATGCATTTCAATAACTAGAGTTCATTTTTGGTTTGCAATTTTTTTTTTCTTTTCAGGCAAAATCTACATACATTGCAATCCACAGATCTTAAATGTAATTTTCTAAGTTTTGACAGATGTATAAGCCTATGAATTGTGACATTTAAAAACCAGAACTGGGATTTTCTTTTTTCAAATCCTTGCTTACTCAATTGAAATTAGTGTGAGATGCCTTCTGCCCTGAGCAGTTTGTACAGCAGGCCTATGCCTACATGGGTGGGCAGGGCCAAGTTTCGTCCAATGTATGACGCTAGGATTGGGGCTAGGAACTAGGACTGTGTAGCTGGAGGCAAAGAATCTGGGAACATTTCTTCTTGTATCAGTGGTAGCCAGTGCAGGGAGAATCAGGGCAAAGGCTGGGCGCAGTGGCTCATGCCTGTAATTCCAGCACTTTGGGAGGCTTAGGTGGGTGGATCACCTGGGGTCAGGAGTTTGAGACCAGCCTGGCCAACATGGTGAAACCCTGTCTCTAGTAAAAATACAAAAAAATTAGCTGGGGGTGGTGGCGGGTCCTGTAATCCCAGCTACTTGGGAGGCTGAGGCAGGAGAATCGCTTGATTGCTTGAACCCAGGAGGTGGAGGTTGCAGTGAGCTGAAATGGCGCCATTGCACTCCAGCCTGGGCAATGAGTGAAACTCTGTCTTAAAAATATATATATATATATCGAGCAAAGGCTCCTACAACTCACCTTCTCAGGGTAAGGGGCTGTATGTCCAGTCTCTTAGATACAAAGTTCCAGTGAAAGACTCTTGGGGTTGGCCAGGCGCAGTGGTTCACCCCTGTAATCCCAGCATTTTGGGAGGCTGAGGCAGGCAGATCGCCTGAGGTCAGGAGTTCAAGACCAGCCTGGCCAACATGGTGAAACCCTGTCTCTACTAAAAATACAAAATTAGCCAGGCGTGGTGGCGCATGCCTGTAATCCCAGCTACTCGGGAGGCTGAGGCAGGAGAATCGCTTGAACCCGGGAGGCAGAGGTTGCAGTGAGCCGAGATCGTGCCATTGCACTCAAGCCTGGGCAACAAGAGCAAAAACTCCGTCTCAAAAAAAAGAAAAAAAAAACTCGGGTTTGAACAGTGTGGCCTGCAAAGGGACTTGGCTCTCATTTACTTCACCTTTCTATCTTATTGCCTTGCTTTATTTTCATTTCAGCATTTAGGAAATTTTCTTGTTCTTTTGTTTATTGTCTGTGTTCCTATCCAGAATGTAAGCTCCTGAGAGCAGAGGCCTCTTCTGTCCTCTTCTGTCTTATTCCCTGCTGTGTCCAGCACATGGTCTGCACTCAATAAGTATTTGTTGCGAGAATGACTCATTGTTCCATTTACTAGAAGGGGAAAGGAGGCCCCGAGAGGGGAAATGACTTGCCTAAAGAAACAGGAGTCCTTTCCCCCCATCCTCCAGCTCTCCTGATCCTCTCCTTTGCTCATAAACCCTGTGACTGTTGGGGCACCTGTGGGGTGGCTGCGAAATGCCTACCTGTAGGTATGTGCTCCTGTGGGTTGGGACTAATGCAGGACTAGGAGTAGGAGGGCTCTGCAGTCCCCCATTTGGGTAGGCTTGGGCACAGGAAACTGCCTCCTTTCCCTTCCTCAGTTCTCTTCTCTTCCAGGATAACCCTTTACTCTGTGATGATGATGGGCGAGGGAGCTCAGGACACTCTGGGAGCCAAGTAGGATGGAGGGCTGGGCAGGTCTCTACAGGCAGGCAGCTGAGGAGGGGGCTCTGTCTTCTTCCAATGGAAACAGCATCTGTGTGGTTGCTGAGCTGAACCCTCCTTCCCAGGGTCTCCAGGGTCTGTAGTTCTCCTTGGTCTGTAGTTCTGTCACCCCTGTGCACACCCCACAAATGCTTTGACCATAGTGCAGCTGTCTCATGGGGAGAGAAAGAACTTTCATTTCCTGAGAATGGGTTACTTGCCAAGCTGAACATGCCTAATTCTCAATACAGCCCTGGGAAGTTCCAGGAAGAGTTGCAGAGGGAGGCTCAGGTCACCCAGCACATGGTGGGGCTGGAAACCCCGGGCTCTTTGACTACCACGCCCAACAACAATTTTTCCAAGTGTGGTCATATCCAAAAGGGGTCCTTCAGATAATCTCAAAGATGAACACTTACTGCAATCACTATTTCAGTTATATTAAAAATATAAGTAGCATGTCAACCCCTTCTAGGGTAATACAAATAAAAAGTAAAAAAAAACTAATCAACAAAAAGAAACATATTAAGAAATAATAGTGTAAATTAGATATAAGGCAAAAGTAAGCTGGTGGGGTTTGGTTCTAGAGCATAGGGCTGCTATCCCAGCTACTGAGGTACCTCCTGCGTTTGCAGTCATTACTTGTTAGGGGTTTTCACACTTTGACTTCCTGCTTTTCACTTTTCCATTCGGTGTTGCGGGATAGATTGAGTTTGGACTTAAGGGGATATGTGAATGTTGGGCGTGGGGAAGGATCCACCCTCACTGGGGTCTGAGCGTTAGGAGAGTAGGCGTGTGGACTCTGGGCCTTTGGGCTGGAGTGTCTATTGGTCAGAGGTGTCGGGTTCGGCCATTTCACCCTCACCTCTAGGCTGGCCCTGCTGAGAGGGAGAGAGAGTCACAACTCCCACTCAAGGAGAGACTTCCCTGCTGGGGAGGGGACGGCCTGAGGCCCGCCCCACCCATATTCCCAGGCCCTGGCTCTGGTTAGCATGGACTAACTTATTCCACAATACGGAGGAGTGGGGCACAGAGTCCCTAACTGGCGCCCCAACAGAAGGCGGTGGTGGGGACCGGAGATGGTAGGACTGGAGATGGTAGGGGCTGCTGATGTGAGCCCACAATACGGAGGAGTGGGGCACAGAGTCCCTAACTGGCGCCCCAACAGAAGGCGGTGGTGGGGACCGGAGATGGTAGGACTGGAGATGGTGGGGGCTGCTGGGAGCCCCTTTTGCGCCGCAGTGTTTCCTGCCATGAAGAGTTGCCGCCGGTCACAACCCTTCCCCGGGGGCGCCCCGAATGTGGGACTCCTTCCGGCCTGGGGTGCGTGAGGGGGACTCAGGGGTTGCCCGGTCTGGAGGAGAGACTCGCCGCCACCTACCCCGGGAACCGCAGACTCTGGGTCTGGGATAAAGCGTCCCCTACCCGCAAGCTCGGTTTGTGCGCTACTGTGCAATCTGTCTTTTGCCTGCAGACGCCCAGCCGCTCGCCCTGCGCGGGTCTCGGAATGTCCAGGGGTCCCTACTGGGGATCACAACCCGGCGAAATGTCGCATTTGCCACCACCTATCTCGACTGCGTAATCGGCTTTCAGCCGCAGACGCTCAGGTCCTGCAGCACCCGCGGGGATCCGTGTAGGAACCTGCTGCCGCTGGATGGACTGAGCGATTGCTTCGCGGGTGTCACGCACCAGACGCCGTGCCGGGAGCGCCGGGAAGGGGGTACGCGCCCCAACCCCGGCCGGGGGAGGGCGCACTCTGGCTCCTCTCTGCGTTTTGAGCCTCCCCTCCCCCGCCAGGCGTATCGCAAAAGGCACCTCCATCGCAGAGCACCATGTGTTGTGCTTCTACTCAGCTCGGTGGCGAGCGGGGCCCCAGCATGCGCATCTGGAAAGCGGGGGAGATTACCCTGGAGCTCGGGTGGGGACGGCGTGGGCTGACTTGATATAAGACGACACCCACGGAGCCAGATCCGTTCTAGGGACTTGGCAGGTTCCTCTCCCTCCCCAGTGAGATCCGTCGTTCTTTGCAGCAATTAGGGGAGGGAAAAAAAAGACCCACAGTATCACGTTTGGAGAGGGTTAGGAAGATGGCTCTCGAGTTGCAGGCCGCCCTGGTGGCTAGACATTGGTGTAGTTTGTGCCTGGCCTCGGTTTCCTGATCTGTAAACTGGGAAGAAGGCCCAAGTCATGAGGCCTGTGACTGTAGAATGGCTGAAGGCACTGGTGCACTCGCAGCCGGTCCTTCCGGGGTCCAGCTTCCCGAAGGACTGGGCAGCCCCGGGGCGAACCCCTCTGGAGCTACCAGGAGAACGTGCGACCGGGTTCGGCGCCCCAGCCGGCAAGTGAGCGCCCAGCGGAGCGCAAGGGCGGGGCCCGCGCGGGCCGGAGACGCCCGTTCGCTGTCGGCCAACCAGCGCCTGTCTCTGAACAGCCAATGAACACGCGTCTTACAGCCAAGGCCGGGTCGGGAGCGAGGCTGCGGCGAGTGCGGCGCTGACAGAGACGCGCGCGCGCGCGATCGCGCTCGGACCCCGGCCGCTGCCGCCATCACTGTCGCCCGCCCAGTCGCCCCTCAGCCGCTTCCCCTCGCCATGGAGGCGAGGCCGCCGCCGCCGCCGCGGGGCTCGGAGCCGCGGGCCGGGCGGCGGCCCTGAGGGCTAGTGGCGGCCCGAAACGCCGCCGCGGAGCCGAGGCGGAGCCGCTGTCCTCGTCCCCAGCGGTCCCGCCCAACGCCCGACTCTGTGAGTGTTCGCGGCCGCTGCGCCCGGGTGGGCTCCGGAAGGGGGAGCGGCTCCCGGGGGCGGTGGGAGGGGTCCCGGGCCACAGCCCAGAGCCCGGAGCCCGAAGCCCTAAGCCATCTTTTCCGGGTAGAAGCCTGCGGGCGCCTGCAGGTTGATTGTGCATCCTTGCGGGTCCGTCGCGGGGAGGGGGTCCCCGGAAACGTGCCGGCCCGAGTGCCGACCCCTCGCGACTGCCCAGGAACTTTGCATGCGTCCTTCTGGGACCAGGCCAGGGCACTGCCAGAGTTGATTCTCAGAGAAGAAACTTAGAACGGCGAGAACAGAATTTGCTCAGGTCCATTTAATGGGAGGAAAGAGGAAAACTCTTGGCATGAGAAAATTTGCTTTTGCAGTGACCAACTTTTCTTTCCCTTCAAGTCCACCTCCCTCGGTCCCCCGGCCCGTCTCCCAGGCCCCTCTCCTTGCCGCCCTCTCCCAACTGTTGAGGCTGTTTAAGAAGGGAAATAAGGGCTGAGAGCTGCCCAGAATTCAGAATAGGCCAATTGAGAACGCAGGTCCCCTCCCTTTTTACTTTCGGTAAATAAAAAATTTTTTTTGAAAAAATTAGTTACTAATTATATCTCCTGAAGATTAAAAAAAAAAAATAGCAGAGCAGAGTCCTGTCTTGAGGGTTTCGTTTTTATTTTTGAGATCACTGATGATATTTGTAAGACAGGAAAAGAAGAATGTGCAAATCCACCCTCTGCAGGGTGAACGCCATCAGAAGCCTTTGCTCAGGAGAGGGATTCCGGCTCTAGAACCAGTCCACATCACCCTGGAGATGGCTTCGTTTGCCACCTGCTAGCTGTGCAGGCAGCCTGAGAAACAGAAGATGGTGGGCGAGAGGAGGACTGACTAGGAAAGGGCGAACATCTTCCTGCCTGGCCACTCCTTTCAGAAACAGATCTGATGCTGTCACTTGTTTACTTAAAAACTCCCTCGCTTTTCTTTTTCCCATGGGATGAATGAAGCCTAAAATGCCTTATCAGGTCATACAAAGCCCTTGACAATCTTGCCTCAATTTACTCCTTTACTTTTAGCCTAATCGGATCCTCCAATTCTCCTTCCCCTCATCCCGCTTGCTGGCTAGTATTCAGAGCTGCTTGACTGCCCCCTCACATGTTGGGATGTTTTTGTTTTATGTGATCCTCTTTCTTCCCCACCTTTACCTGCCAAGCTCCACTTTTTCTTTTAAAGTTCTTCTCATTTGAGAAGCTTCTTGCGGGCAGGAGCTGTGTCTTGCCCACCTTTCTATCTCCCGTGGTGGGAGAATCCTCCAAGTTGTCTTGTAGATTCTTTCCAATCTCTTCTCTCTTATGCCTAGGCTCTGTTTATTTCCCGGTATCCACTTCCCAAGAGATTTTTTCGTGTTTTGAAGGCCTGCTTGGAGTACATGCCCAGGACTTTTAGTATTTCTGATTCCCGGCTTCCCCATGTCCATCCCACCCAGCCCCCATAAGCAGTCAGCAGGTGGGAACTGGTAGGTCCCATATCCCACTGGCCTCCAAAAAACTGTCTCTGAAAGACTAAAAGCCCTTCAGTCTCTTTTCACCTCTGCCTGCTCAAAGTGACCTGGCTGATACCGTGCATTGTAAGGCATGGTGGGATCCCGGGGCCTGTTCTCTGTTTAGCCACTTAACATCTGGGTGAAATACAGAACCAGAAAAACCACCCCTCTGACTTCAGTACATTCATGTGTCTTCCCTTTGCCAGGTGAATTGCTTGGGATACAAAAGTGAGGAAGTCAGTCCTTAACCTTTGAGGAACTCAGAGTCTAATGTAGGACAGGTGGATATAAATACATCACAGGTGCTATAAGATTGTGATAATAATAATAGCTATTTTTTATTTGCCTTGTGACAAGCTATGTAATGTTTTCCATGAATTCCCTCAGTCTTTTCAACAGTCATAAAAGGGCTTATTCCTACTCTACAGGGTTGGAAACTGAGGCCAAACAGTGGGCAAATGAGGGAATAGTCAAGATTTGAATTTTGGCCGTGTATTTGCAGAGCCTCTGCCAGGCTGTGTAGGGAGCATCCCCTGCCTGGGTGATTTGGGAAAGCTTTCCTGGGACGGGGGGGCCTTCGGATCATGAAGGATGCATAGGAGTTTGCGCGTGGTGGACTGCACACATAGGCAAGAGGGAGCAGCACAAGCAAACTTGGTGGTGGAAGGAATCCACTGTCCTTGGGGAGGAGGGAAGAGGTTAATCATAGCTGGATCAGGTAAGGACAATGGAGAGCTACTAGAGGATTTAAAGGAGGTCAGGGACTTGGGCTGAAAGAATTTTGGAAAGATCATTTGGGGGCAATATAGGGCCAAATGCAGATGCCCCTGCAATATAGGAGGCACTGGTTGGGTCTGACAGAGGTAGAGTCACAGCCTCTTAGACCCAGAGGAAGGTGTAGAGAGAATCCTGCTCAATTTTGGGAAAAGATAATTAATGCAGATGAGAGAAAAATTCAAAAGTTCTAGCAATACAAAAGAGTATATAGAGAAAAATGTCCCTCCTACCCTGGCCCCAAGTCTCCTGTCTCCCTAACCTCCTCCCCAGAGATGGCTGAAGTTTTCAGTTTATATGGCCTTCCATAGACACTGTTGCTTTATAAATATGTGCCTGCTTATCCATACTCCTCCCACCATGGGACGTACCACTCACACCTTACTGGGTTTTTTTACTTAACATATTTAGGAAATCATTCTATTATCAACATATATAGAGAGTTATTTGTTCTTTCTGTTGACATGCTTTTACTTATTTAGTTGTATGGCTGTACTGTAACATCTTTGGGTTAAATATTTGTTTCCAGGTTCTTCTCTTACAGCAATGAATGTCCTTGTACATACTGTGTTATGTGCTCATTTGCAAAGTTATCTGAACAATATGCTTTTAGAAGTAGAATTACTGGGTCAAGGGATATGTCTGCATTTTTGATTTGCAGACATGGAGCCAAACTGCCACCCGTTTCTGGGGGGTTGTACCAATTTATCCTCTCCCCCAAAGTGTATAGCTGGATAGATGATCTTTGGAGAATTCAGGAGGATCAACTACGATGCTTTTTCAGCTATTATATGCCTACTTTTCCTCCACAAATCCTCCCCCACCCTATGCGATTCTAGCCAGTTTCTTTGAATTTACAGAGGGAGATGTTGAGGCTCAGAAGGATAAAAGTAACTTGTGCAGGATGATCAGTGCGGGTGGTGGTGGGTGTTTTGTTTTGTATTTTTGCACCCCTCATGTTTGTATTTGCCAGCACCTTTCATTGGAGGTGCTCAGTGTCAGTTTGTAAACATTATTGCATTATTTTTCTCCATTTTCACATGGAAAAAAATGAGATGCAGGGGAAGTTTGAGTTATGAGAGGGAAACTGGCCAAATATAGAATCTTGTCATTTTACTTCCAGTGCAATAATAAATGTTTCCAAATGACAAAGCTGAAGAGATGTTTTTTGTTTGTTTGTTTGTTTGTTTGTTTTTTGAGATGGAGTTTTGCTCTTGTTGCCCAGGCTGGAATGCAATGGCGCTATCTTGGCTCACGCAACTTTTGCCTCCTGGGTTCAAGCGATTCTCCTGCCTCAGCCTCCCGAGTAGCTGGGATTACAGGCATGTGTCACTGTACCTGGCTAATTTTGTATTTTTAGTAAAGACGGGGTTTCTCCATGTTGGTAAGGCTGGTCTTGAACTCCTGACCTCAGGTGATCCGCTGGTCTTGGCCTCCCAAAGTCCTGGGATTACAAGCATGAGCCACCGTGCCCGGTGAAGAAATGGTTTTTTAGTGAGTCTGAGTACAACAAAAATAGCAATAATATAACACTAACTTAATAAAACTGAACAGCAGGCCCAAAAATAGCCCAACATTAAAATTTATTTTAATGTATTCTCTATGGAAAAGAGAATCCATTAAATGTAAAACTATTTATTTTACTCTAAATTCACATCCATTTGTGTCAGTGTACAAGACATAATTTTTATAGTAGCAGTCAGTACATATAGAATATGATTTTTGAATTCTTCAATAGCATAAAATATTTTATATTTACTCATTTAAGTATTTGTTCATTTAAAATCACAGGCTGGGTGCGGTGGCTCACGCCTGTAATCCCAGCACTTTGGGAGGCTGAGGCAGGTGGATCATGAGGTCAAGAGATCAAGACCATCCTGGCCAACATGGTGAAACCCCATCTCTACTAAAAATACAAAAATTAGCTGGGTGTGGTGGCGCGTGCCTGTAATCCCAGCTACTCGGGAGGCTGAGGCATGAGAATCACTTGAACCCAGGAGGCGGAAGTTGCAGTGAGCCAAGATCTTGCCACTGTACTCCAGCCTGGCGACAGAGCGAGACTCCGTCTCAAAAAAAAGAAAAAAAAAATCACAGTATAGTATTCCATGCATCGACAGCTGTAGTTTTTTTTAAATTTGTTTTTGTTTTTTTGAGACAGGGTCTCACTCTGCCACCCTGGCTGGAGTGCAGTGGCATGATCACAGCTCACTGCAGCCTTGACCTCCTGGGCTAAATGATCTTCCCATCTCAGCCACCTGAATAGCTGGGACTGCACAGGTCTGTGCCACCACGACCAGCTAATTTTTTTATTTTTTGTAGAGACATTTTTATGTTGCCCAGGCTAGTCTTGAACTCCTGGACTCAAGTGATCCACCCGCCTTGGCCTCCCAAAGTGCTGGGATTACAGGTGTGAGCCACCACTCTCAGCCAACAGCTGTAGTTGGTGCAATCCTTTTTATTCTTTTATTTTTTTCTACCTTTTTGCTATTATAAATGGTACTTTTATACCCCTTGTTCAAATACTTCTTTTGGATTATTTCCTTGGACTCTTACTCCCAACCTGGGCTCACCAAGTCAGAGGATACAGTTTCGGTGCCTAATTGCAATCTGGAAAGGTTGAACTAGTTTCCAGCACTATCAGCAATTTATGGGGCCATTTCTTGACAACCCATCTAGTGCTATTACAAAGAAATGTAATGATACCTTGAATTAGGTTTAATTTACATTGCTTTGGAAAAAGAGACCAGTAGCTGATTTAGATTTTTTGAAAGAAGTACAGTGCTGTGATATAGATTATCTCCAAGATTTATGTAACTGAAGCCAACTTGTGGTTGAAGAAAGATTTGGTTGATGAGATTGAAATATTGTGGAAGTTTAGAATAGGATCATAGCAGTATAAAATATAAGGCTAGATGCTGTTCAGTTGGAAATACCAGGCATTGTGCCGGAAGCTGGGGACACCCCAGAGTAACATAGATGTGATGTCTGTCCTCATGACACTTTTAGGTTAGTGCAGTAGACAGACATTAAAATCACCTATGGTAATTATAGATGTGATGAAAGGGGAAGAATAGGGTGTCGGGAGTGTCAGAGAAGTTCAGCAGCTAAACAACATTTGCAGTTAAACATTTGTGAAGGCCCTGAGCTGAGAAGGGATTTGGTAGCTCAGGGCAGCGCTTCGCTAACTTGAATGTGCTCATGAACCATCTGGGAATCTTGTTAAAATGCCAAGTCCTGAATCAGTAGGTTTGGGGTGGGACTTGGGATTCTGTGTTACTAACCAGCTCCTGGGTGAGGCAGATGCTGCTGGTGGGTGGATCACACTTGGTGTAGCAAGGCCTAATTGAGAGCTTGGTGAGCACCTAAAACTGGCTGACCATGGTGAGCAGGAAGGGGCAGGTGGCTTGCAGTGACAGAGTAATTCTCTGCCTAGGCTGCACTTTAGATTCACCTGGGGAACTTAGAAAAATCAGGGTTGCAAATGCCCCACCCGCAGCCATTTTAATTTAATTGGTCTCAGTTGGGGCCTGAGAATGTGTATACAGTCATGCACAGTATAACGATGTTTCCATCAAGGAGAGACTGCATATGCCACAGTGGTCCCATAAGATTATAATCCATAATTTTACTATACCTTTTCTATTTTTAGATATGTTTAAATACACAAATACTCACTGTGTTAGTTACTTACAGTATTCAGTACAGTAACATGCTGTACAGGTTTGTAGCCTAGGAGCAGTAGGCTATACAATATAGCCTAGATACGTAGCAAGCTGTACCATCTCATTTTGTGTAAGTACCTTTTATGATGTTTGCAGAATTATGAAATCACATCAGGACTCATCCTCAGAATGTGTTCCATTGTTAAGTGATGCATACCTGTATATATATTTTAACTCCCCAGGTGATTCTAATGTGTAGCCAGGCTTGAGAACTAGAGACTAAGGACAGTGTTGAGACTAGAGAATGGCAAGGAGCAGAGTTGAGGGTCCTGTATGGCATGCAAGGATTTTGGACTCTATCCTGAAGGCAGAGCTAAATCTTTGAAGGATTTTTAAGCAGGAGAGTGAACTGATCTGATTTGCAATTGTTAAAAAGTTCACTGTGGCTGTAGTCCAGAGCAGTAGTTTTCAAATTGAGGTAGATAAGATGATCCAGGGGAACTGGAAGAAAATTTAGAACTTTTTATTGTTTTTATCTAAAAGATAAGATAAAACATTTAATTTAGGAATTGTCTCTGGCATCTTCTTGGGTCTATAGGTCAAACAGTTAATGTGTTAACTGTAGAACTTTGGGTGTCCTGAAGGAAGAGACTGAATTCTGCAGTGAGCAGAGACATATTTATACATTTGTTCTCCATGTATTGCAACATGTTGTTAACAGTTTATATTAACCAGTTCTCATTGAACTAGCCTTTACAAAATGGACATGCAGAGAAACCAGTGATCAAAGAAAATACTAATAATACAAGCACAAGCAAACAAGTTGTCAGAGCTGACACTTGTCCAACTCCTGTGATGAATTCTTGGTGAGCTATTCAAATAAGTCAGCTCTTACTAAATTGGAAAGTATCAGGAAATTTATAAGAAACATGAACTTTCGTGCTCTGTCATTAATAGGAATCTTGCTTTAAGATTCCTTTTAATCGTATGTAGAACCCAGCTGCACGGTGGCTCACACCCATAATCCCACTGTTTTGGGAGCCTGAGGTGCAGGAGGCCAGGAGCTCAAGACAAACCTGGGCAACATAGCGAGACCCCATCTCTACCAAAAATAAAAAATTAGCCGTGTGGTGTCACGTGCCTGTAGTCCCACTTACTTGGGAGGCTGAGGCAGAGGATTGCTTGAACCCAGGAGTTCAAGGCTGCATTGAGCCATGATTGCACCACTGTACTCCAGCCTGGGGGACAGAGGGAGACTCTGTGTCTCAAAAAAAAAAAGAGGAGGACCGGGCATAGTGGGTCACACCTGTAATCCCAGCACTTTGGGAGGTCAGGGTGGGTGGATCACAAGGTCAAGAGATCGAGACCATCCTGGCCAACACAGTGAAACCCCATCTCTACTAAAAATACAAGAATTCGCCGGGCGTGGTGGCGTGTGCCTCTGGGTAATTTCAGCTACTCGGGAGGCTGAGGCAGGAGAATCCTCTGAGCCCAGGAGGCGGAGTTTGCAGTGAGCCGAGATCTCGCCACTGCACTCAAGCCTGGGTGACAGAGCAAGACTCTGTCTCCAAAAAAAAAAAAGTATGTAAAACCTTGAGATATTAAATAATAAAATATGAGGCTGTCACCAGTATGAAGACATTTGAAAACCAAAAATTTGGAACATAAAAAGAACCTCTACATTTTTTTTGCAGTGATGTTTAAAGATAAAGGATATTCCATCAGATGCTTTACAAAATTTTGCTAACTTCAATTATTAAAATTTATATTTTGAGGGTTTTTTGCTTTTAAGAGACAGGGTCTCACTCTGTTGCCCAGGCTGGAGTACAGTGGCACAATGATAGCTCACTGCAGCATTGAACTCCTGGGCTCAAGCGATCTTCCCACCTTGGCCTTCCAAAGCTCTGGGACTACACATGTGAACCACCATGCCTGGCCAGTTTTTAAGTTTATTGTTCTTATAAAAGACAAAATGGGGCCGGGTGCAGTGGCTCATGCATGTAATCCCAGCACTTTGGGAGGCCGAAGTGGACGGATCACTTGAGGTCAGGAGTTTGAAACCAGCCTGGCCAACATGGCAAAACCCTGTCTCTACTAAAAACACAGAAATTAGCCAGGTATGGTGGGCACACCTGTAGTCCCAGCTACTCGGGAGGCTGAGGCAGGAGAATCGCTTGAACCTGGGAGGCGGAGATTGCAGTGAGCTGAGGTTGCGCCGCTGTACTCCAGCCTGGGAGACAGAGCGAGACTGTTTCAGGGGAAAAAAAGAAAAAAGACAAAAAAACACATACCCTTGGCAGATTCTTCCTGCCCCACCCCCAAAAGGCCCACTTAAACAAAAAATGGACTGATGTACTACATGGAAAATAATTTTGTCAGGAAATCAAAATACTGTTGGAAGATGTATAGAAAACATTGCTGAATATGTGAACAAACAATATTAGAACAAATTTTGCAGTGTGGGAAGTTTGGTATACGGTTATAAAAGTACAGAAGCTTCTAGCATGTCTCAGTATCGCTAGATACTCTTTTTTTTCTTTTCTTTCTTTCTTTCTTTTTTTTTTTTTGAGACAGTTTTGTTCTGTCACCCAGGCTGGAGTGCAGTGGCACCATCATGGTTCACTGCAGCATTGACCTCCCAGTCTCAAGTGATCATCCTACCTCAGCCTCTCAAGTAGCCAGGACCACAGGCATGCACCACCATACCTATTTTTTTTATTTTTTATTTTTAGGAGAGATGAGGTCTCACTATGTTTCCCAGGCTGGCCTTGAACTCCTGGCTCAAGCAATCCACCTGCCAAAAGACCTTCCAAAGTGCTGGGATTACAGGCATGAGCCACCGTGCCAACTGTGCCAGGCCTAGATTACCTTTTAATAGTTACATCCAAGAATAAGGACCACTTCTTTTGTGAGCTACTGGAAGAAAGTTGTACTGGAGAAGACATATTTTTAATAGTAAATGATTGCCTTCATAAGAACATTACTATATGGAATAATAGACTGAATGTAAATTAATGGAACAGCTGCTTTGACTGAACAAAAGAATGAAATTCATTCATTACTTCTCTATGGGCAGGCTGTTGAGTCCACTTATTTGTTAATTATCTTGTGGTAGAGTTGTTGATGAGTTTTGCATTTTTCTTTTTTAAAAAAATGCCAACTTTTTGTTATGGTAAGTGGCTACAGTTTGAGTAATCCTAATATGAAATCCAAAAGGCTTCCAAATCCAACACTTTTTTTTTTTTTTTTTTTTTTTGAGACAGGTTCTCACTCTGTATGTAGCCCAGGCTGGAGCGCAGTGGCATGATCATGGCTCATTGCAGCCTTGACCTCCTGGGCTCGGGTGATCCTCCCACCTCAGCCTCCTGAGTAGCTGGGACTACAGGCATGCACCACCATGCCCAGCTAATTTTGCAACCAGTAGGAATAATGCAAATAGTACAAAATCTGAAAAATACCTAAATCTGAAACACTTCTGGTCCCAAGCATTTCAGATAAGGAATACTCAACCTGAACCTAGCAAATATCATTTGAAAAAATAATATCTTAATCTGTCTCTTCAAGTAAAAGTATTATTTAAATAGTGAGTGAAAAAGGAACTACTTCTTTTCTTAGAAAGAAATGTGCAGGCCGGGCGCGGTGGCTCACGCCTGTAATCCCAGCACTTTGGGAGGCCGAGGCGGGCGGATCACGAGGTCAGGAGATCGAGACCATCCTGGCTAACACGGTGAAACCCCGTCTCCACTAAAAATACAAAAAATTAGCCGGGCGTGGTGGCGGGCGCCTGTAGTCCCAGCTACTCGGGAGGCTGAGGCAGGAGAATGGCGTGAACCCGGGAGGCGGAGCTTGCAGTGAGCCGAGATCGCGCCACTGCACTCCAGCCTGGGCGACAGAGCGAGACTCCGTCTCAAAAAAAAAAAAAAAAAAAAAAAAAAAGAAAGAAATGTGCAATGGTAGAGCGTTTTCCTCGTTGGAATTTTTTTTACATGTAATCATTATAAGCTATAACTTACATATTATAAAATTCTCCTTTTTAAAATGTACAGTTCTGTGGTTTTTTGTATATGCATAGAGTTGTGCAGCTTTTGCCACTGTCTAGTTTAAGAACATTTCATCACCCCAAAAGAGACCCTGCACCCATTAGCCTCACTTCCCATTCTCTCCTCCCTCCAGTCCCTGGCAACTACTAATCTTCCTGTTTCTTTGGATTTGCCTATTCTGGACATTTCATATAAATGAAATCATACAATATGTGACCTTTTGTAGCTGGCTTCTTTTACTTAGCATAATGTTTCTGGGGTTCATTCATGTTGTATCATGTATCAGTACTTCATTCCTTCTTATGGCTGAATAATAATCCATTATATTGATATACGACATTTGGCTAACTGGTTCATCAATTGATGAACATTTATTTGTTTCTACTTTTTGGCTTTATGAATAATGCTGCTGTGAACATTCATGTATAAATTTTTGTGTAGTCATAGGTTTTAATTTCTCTTGGGTATATATATATACCTAGGAGTAGGATTGCTGGGTTAAACGGTGACTAACTTTGAGGGGCTGTCAAACTGTTTTGTAAAGTGACTACCCATTCCCAGTAGCAACTCACAAAGGTTCCAGCAGCAATACAATAGGGGTCCAGTTTCTCCCAGCAATGCTTAGGGGTCCCAATGTCTCCCATCTTTGCCAACATTTGTTACTCTCTTTTTGATTATAGCCATCTTAGTGGGTGTGAAGTTGTATCTCATTGTGGTTTTTATTTGCATTTCCATGATGATTTATGATGTGCATCTTTTCATGTGCTGTTGGCCGTTTATGTATGTTCTTTGGGGAAATGTCTGTTCAGATACTTGGCTCATTTTAAAATTTAGTTATTGCTCTTTTTATTATTAAGTTACTTATATATTTTTAGATATAAGTCCCATATCAGATATACGATCTGTAAATATTTTTTCCCATCTGTGGGTTGTGTGTTCAGCTGTTTGCGTGGACATATCCTTTTGGGTAGATCTAGGAGTGGAACTGCTGAGTCAAATGGTAACTCTCTGGTTTTTTTTGTTTTTTTTGTTTTTTTTTTTTTTTGAGACGGAGTCTCGCTCTGTCGCCCAGGCTGGAGTGCAGTGACACGATTTTGGCTCACTGCAAGCTCTGCCTCCCAGGTTCATGCCATTCTCCTGCCTCAGCCTCCCGAGTAGCTGGGACTACAGGCGCCCCCCACCACATCCAGCTAATTTTTTGTATTTTTAGTAGAGATGGGATTTCACAGTGTTAGCCAGGATGGTCTCGACCTCGTGATCCGCCCGCCTCGGCCTCCCAAAGTGCTGGGATTACAGGCACAAGCCACTGCGCCCGGTTTGAGGAACCACTGACTTTGTTGAGGAACAGAAAGAACGCCTGCACCTTTTTACAATCCCAGCAGCAGTGTATGAGTGTATCAGTTTCTCCATATCCTTGTCAACACTTGTTGTTTTTTTTAACTGTAGCCATCCTAGTAGGTGTAAAGTGGTATTGCATTATGTTTTAATTTGCATTTCCTTAATGACTCATGATCTGACTGTGATTTTGTTGCATCTATAAAATTCTCATAATTTGACACATGAAAACCTTAGAAACAATTTTGTAACCTAATAAAAATCTCCAAATGTGTTTCTAAAAACATTTCCAGATGATCTAATGAAGTAAAGAATCTAGGCATTGGTCACCAGTGGCTGTTAAAACCATTAGGGAACTTTATAATAAAGGGATCAGTGTGACAATCTTCTGATCAATCATAACATCTCTAAAATTGGGACAACCAAATCTTATATTCTTTCTATGTGATACTAGGAAGAACATATCATTCATGAAATAGTCTTGCTTGCCCCAACAAACAGAGTCAAACCTTCCTCTGATTAGTGTAGATCTGATTACTGGTTTATAGGATATAATTGGCAAATTTAGAATGTGAAAAATATTATAGGACAAATGAACCCATTTACTTCAAATGAATGGCAAGAAAAAAAAAGTACACGAACTGCTACAGATTAAAAAAGACTTGAGGCTGGGCGTGGTGGCCCACGCCTGTAATCCCAGCACTTTGGGAGGCCAAGGTGGGTGGATCATGAGGTCAGGAGTTCGAGAACAGCCTGACCAACATGGTGAAACCCCGTCTCTACTAAAAATACAAAAATTAGCTGGGCGTGGTGGCACGCACCTATAATCCCAGCTACTCGGGAGGCTGAGGCAGGAGAATTGCTTGAACCCAGGAGGCGGAGGTTGCAGTGAGATCATGCCACCACACTCCAGTGTGGGCGACAGAGCAAGACTCTGTCTTGGAAAAAATAAAAAAGACTTGAATGAAACATATTAATTGAACATAAGTATAGATCTTGTTTAGATCCTGTTTCATGCAAACCAACTGTAAAAAGTTATTTATGAGCCCATTGGGAGTAATTTAAATTTGAAAACCACTTGTATATTAGATGATTTTTAAACAATTTTAATTTTTTAAAGGTTATTATAGTAGTATGGTTACATTAAAAAGAAAGACTCCTTTCTCTTACAGATAGGTACTGAAGTATTTTGGATGAAATGATGTTGATATCTGGAATTTGCTTTAAAATAATTCAGCATGTTTGGAGGATTACAGACGAGACAAGAATTGCCATACGTTGATAATTATTGAAGCTGGATAATAGGTATATAAGGGTTTATTATAGTATTTTCTCTACTGTTGTATATGTTTGAGAATTCCCATAGTAAAAAATTAAAAGAGAAACCACTGTAAGGGAAGAGTTTTAGTGGATTTCATGTCCATTTGTTAGAAATAGAAAAATGTGGCCAGGCACGGTGACTCACACCTGTAATCCCAGCACTTTGGGAGGCCGAGGCGGGCGGATCACCTGAGGTTGGGAGTTCGAGACCAGCCTGACCAACATGGAGAAACCCCCGTCTCTACTAAAAAAAAAAAAAAAATACAAAATTAGCCTGGCATGGTGGTGCATACCTGTAATCCCAGCTACTCGGGAGGCTGAGGCAGGAGACTTGCTTTAACCTGGGAGGTGGAGGTTGCCCTGAGCCGAGATCGCACCATTGTACTCCAGCCTGGGCAACAAGAGTGAAACTCTGTCTCAAAAAAAAAAAAGGAAAAGAAAAAAAAGAAAAAGAAATAAAAAAATGTAGTATCTTTGATTAATTTTCAAAAGTATATCACAGAAGATAGATATTTGCTAGCCATATTTAAAAGGAAATATTTGTATAATGGGGGTGAAAAAATGATTATCACAGTTTAGTAAACACAGCCATAGTGCTTCTTCCTTTGGATTCATGTTTCTTTTTGGTTATGATAGCATTAAAACTTGGAATCAGGCTTTTAAATTGCTCTATAATATATTAAAATGAGATTTTTCAAACATAATGAGAAATATTTAATCATATGGATTGCACTAAAATATTTTTAAGATGGGTTTTACATTACTATTTTAATTGATGGAAGTACCATTATTGTGATCATTATGTATTTCATTTGAAATGTTTTGTAGTATTTATAGGTATTAGTACCTGTGTTCTGTTTATAAATGAACATGTGTTGGGGATGTATACTCTTATTTATTGGTGGATGTGCAGTAAAAGGTTTGTTTGTGGAGAACGGACTGGGCAGGGTATAGAGACTTATTTGATGTTTATTAGAGCAAATGTGGCCAGTGATGATGGTGTTCTGGATTGGCTTAGGGTGGGAGGAGTGGTGATAGGGATGGAGATACATGGACAAGTATGATTTAAGCAGTAGAGGCATTAGGGTTCTAGATTTCTGGCTTTTTGGAAGAGATGATTGCTAGTTAATGAACTGAGCTTTTGTGTGTGGGAAGAAGTTGAAACCTGGCCCCTGTGAATTGTGCAAGTAGTTCTTAAATATTGATTGACAAATAGCTTAACGAGCAACTAATTTTCAAATATTGGTTGACAAGTGGCTTATTACAATATTGTAAATGCATTGATACTACCATTAGTAAAGAGAATGTCTTCCTTTGATAATGTTAGCAGCACTGTTACCAGAGCAGTGTGGGATAGTTCCAGGACTTTCACTGTCTAAAAGGAACTGGAGGCCCAAGCTTTTACGGGGATACTTCTGCTCTCCTGGTTCCCATGTCCCCAGTGATGTGAATGTCCCTGACTCAGTGCCTCTGCTCACGCTGTCTGTGAGATCACTGCCTTCCAGTGCCTCTTACCTCTTGGGCCTGCCCACTTTGTTAACAGGGACAGATTTCACAGTGATTTCCAGCCAGTATTTCTCTCTCCCCAGTTTGGGGTGTTAGCTAGAATGGTCCCTCAAAGCCCTCAAACACGGATGAGAAATAGAAGAAGCTCAGGGAGACTATACCTGGGCTAGGTTCTTGCTACCAGCTGGTGGAAGACAAAGAAAACCCCTTTTCTTCCTGTATTTCATGCCCAGTGAGCAGTAGTGCCATCAGCAGCAGTTGTGAACCCCTAAATCAGTGATTCTCAATATGACTGACATGGTGGGGAAGACGTAAGTTTGAAAATGCATTTTCAGGCTAGGTGTGGTGGCTCACACCTGTAATCCTAGCACTTTCGGAGGCCAACATGGGAGGATCACTTGAGCCCAGGAGTTCGAGACCAGCCTGGGCAACATAGTGAGACCCTGCTTCTACAGAAAAATAAAAGCTAGCCAGGTGTAATGGCATGCACCCATAGTCCTAGCTACTTGGGAGGCTGAGGTGGGAGGATTGCTTAAGCCCAGGAGATCAAGGCTGCAGTGAACATACCACAGCACTCCAGCCTGGGCAGCAGAGTGAGACCCCTGTCTCAAAAAGAAAAAGCATTTAAAAAAAAAAAAGGTTTGTTAGTGTTTGTCTCAAAATTTTGCTTAATTTAAAATTATGTATATATTTGAATAATATGTGTCCATGTTAATAGTTCTAAAAGTATATATAGTATATATAGTAAAAGGTAGTTTTCTCTCCCCCTGCCTTTCAGCTTTCCCTTTCCATAGGCATCCACAAGTACTATGAGCAATACTTGTGAAACCATGCTGAAATACTACATGCTCATAAAATGTAAGTTACTTAAGTTTGGTATTTCAAGTAACAATAAGGGAAGATAGGAGAGTTTTATGTTTATCAAAAGGGGTGAATGTTATAGCAGATTGAGATGAGATGTTCTTACCTTTGGGTGGGATCTTAAGTGGAGCTCAATTCGGTTTCCCCAATGTTAGTGGGAGAGATTACTTAAACCATCCATACTTATCCAGTTGTACTTGGTAAGTTTTCAAAGGTTCTACTTTGAAGAGGGCTTTTGTTGAGCAAGTAGTGGTTAATAGAGCAGCTCAGTTACATGTGTAAGTTTTTTGATGTGGGAAAAGGGCTTTTGTATACAGAAGGACTATTTTAAAATTATTTGGGCTTTAAATTAACATGTATTAAAGTGGTAAATTTAAAACCCAGTTTTCTTTTAGTCTTGTTATTGTACTTGTAAGCATAGGCATTTTGTATAGAAATAAGAATAGTAATTTTCACCTGCTTGTCAATTAAGTTAATATAAATTTAACAGATTTAATTGCTCCAGGCCCCTTACTTAGTGAATTAAATTTCCTTAGATGTTTAAAATACATTTACACAGTCAGTCTGTCAGGCACAGTCAGTCCTTGACAGGTCAGAGTTACCACCTTAAACAGAAACTTCTTAAGCTCTTGGGCAATCTGTGATACTAAGAAATTAAATTTGTAAATGTAGTAAAACAGGTTTTGGTTAAGACTTCCAGTGCTTTTCATTAGCTGAATCTGAATTACCAACATTTAAAAAACACATACCCTAAACTTAACGCAAAAGTACTACTAGTACCATGAGTTTGATATACCATACCTCATTTTATTGCTCATGTCTTTTCTTTCTGGGATTGTGATGCCACTTACCCAATTAAGGAGGACAGTTTTATCATCTCAGAAAGCCATGGTTATCAGATTAAAAATACAGAATCATGATACAGTTATTATTGGTCAGAGATTTGAGACTGGGAAAGGGAACTAAGGGGTCTGTGTTTCCAGGATAATTCTACTCAAGAGATGCTGTGCCTTTCCTTATGTTAAGAGTCCTGAATGTGGCATCAAAGGGGGAATCCATGTTCAGAGTTTGTTTTGCAACCCCCCATACCTTTTTTTGAGACAGGATCTTGGTAGGTTGCCCATGCTGGTGTGCAGTGGTGCAATCATGGCTCACTGCAGCCTTGACCTCCTGGGCTCAAGTGATCCTCCCGCCTCAGCCTCCTGAGTAAGTAGCTGGGACCACAGATGTACGTCATCATGCCCAGCTAATTTTTTGATTTTTTTTTTTTTTTTGTAGAGATGAGGCCTCACTATGAGCCTAGGATGATCTCAAATTCCTGGCCTCAAACAGTCCTCCCGCCTCAGCCTGCCCAAGTGCTGGGATTACAGGCATAAGCCACCATGCCTGGCCTTTTCTTCAAAAATAACCCTTCAATCAATTTTTTTTTTCCTGGTCAAATTGGATTTTGTGTTTCTTTTATATATTCCTTGTCAGGCCCTACAGTTATTTTAATTTTGGGTGTTGGATAGACTAGGGTTCATATTCCATGCCTGCCATGCTTTTTGTGAACTTGGGCAAAATAGTTAGCTCTTCTGAGACTCACTTTTGTCACCTAGTAAATGGGTTCAGCTGTAGTACTCTATGTATTTGTTTGTTTTAAGCATTAGATAGTGCGTGGTAAATGCTTAGCACAGTTCTTAGCACATAGTAAATCTTTAATAAATGTTAGAAAATATAATGATCTTGATTCTCTGTCTTCCCTCCCTAGTAGTTGATTTGGGGCACAGTGTAGCATTATTTGAATTATCACAGAATAACTTTTTACCTTTCTGATTTTAACAGGGGAGAGTGTGTAAAGGATGGGAGAGGGAAGAGAGAAAAAAGCTGAGTAAATGTGATCAACTTTACAGTCTTTATTCCCTGAACTATCTTTCCCTGAGTTATGTGACACATTCTCCTTGTTTTCCTCTTTCTATCTTTGTGGCCACTCCTCAGTTCCCTAGGCCCCTCTTCTTTGACCACTCCTTGTTTGAGTTACCAAAGATTCCATCTCTGGCCTTCTTGTGTTGATTCTACACGTTCTTCCTGGAAGCACATGTCCATGGTTTCAGCTTCCTTGCTAATTAGGAGAAACTTTGTCCTCAGAACCCATCTGGATTACAGCCAACAGCCTACTGGTCTCCATTGGGCTATCTCCCAGGTACCTATAACAGTCTCAGAACTGACTCATCTTCCTTTTCAGCGTGTTATTTTTATAATCTCTATCTTGATGAATGGCACAACACAGTGACCCAAACTGGAAACTTGAATGTTGTTCATCTGGTTGGTGATCTGTTCCTAACTGTTTTACATCTGTAACATTTCTCAAATTTGCCTATTTTCCACCATTTCTCCTATCCCTTAATTCAGGCTGCTTCTCACCTAGATGACTGCTGCAGGTTCCCTTGTTGTCTACTCATTATTAGTTTCTCATTCCAAGTCATTGATTAGATGGCTGCCAAAAGTGATCTCTTTAACTTCCCAACTTTAGATTCTGTGAATAAAATCCAAACTCCTTAACAGAGCAGGCCCTCATGATCCAACTCCTCTTAACGTTGGTAGCCTTATCTTTTCTCTGAGCCCACTGCCGCTTGATCCTTGGTGGTGCTGTGCTCTTTCTTGCTCTCTGTCTTTGGTTGGACTGCCCACCTCCCTCCTTCTTACTTGACATTATAATTTATCAGATAGAGATCAGCTCCTCCAGTCAGCATTTCCTTACTGACTACTCCAAGTCTGACCCAGTGTAGATTCTGTGCTTATATCTGTCAAGTCACTTATTGTATGATAATTCATACACTTATATGATAATTCACACATTGGCATGTGTAGATTAAACATTTATAGTCTCAGAAGGATCCTGATAGTCCAAAAGGTATAGTAATGCAGTTGTCTCTTAGTATCTTCAGGTGATTGATTCCAGGATCCCCCCCATGGAGATCAAAATCCAGGGATACTCAGGTGCCTTATATAAAATGGCATATTTGCATGTAACCTATGCACATCCTCCTGTGTACTTTATAGGCCCTAAATAATCTCCAGATTACCTATATGGCTAAAACAATGCAAATACTATGTAAATAGCTGTTATACTGTATTTTTAAGTTTGTTTCTTATTTTATGGTTTTATTTGTTTATTTTTTTGATCTGTGGATGTGCAACCCACAGATAGAGAGGGTCAACTGGGCCGGGCGCGGTGGCTCACACCCGTAATCCCAGCACTTTGGGAGGCTGGGGTGGGAGGATTGCCTGAGGTTAGGAGCTCGAGACCAGCCTGGCCAATATGGTGAAACCGTGTCTCTACTAAAAATACAAAAATTAGCCAGGCATGGTGGCAGGTGCCTGTAATCCTAGCTACTCTGGAGGCTGAGGCAGGACAATTGCTTGAACCTGGGAGTTGAAGGTTGCAGTGAGCCAAGATCCTGCCATAGCACTCCAGCCTGGGCAACAGAATGAGACTCTGTCTCAAAAAAAAAAAAAAAAAAAAAGAAGAGAGGGCCAACTGTATGTAATTTACTGAAGCATGGATTCACATTATAGATGGTCCCTGATTTATGATGGTTCAACTTATGATTTTTATACTATGATGGTGGGAAAGCTGGTGTGATATACGTATTCAGTAGAAATTGTACTTCCAATTTTGAAATTTGATCTTTTCCCAGGCTAGTGATATGCAGTGTGACAATTTCTCATGGTGCTGGGCAGAAGCATTGACCCACACCTCCCAGTCAGCCATGTGATCAGGAGGGTAAATGAGTATACTCCATGGTGTACTGTGTTGCCAGGTGATTCTGCTCAACTGTATGCTAATGTGAGTGTTCTGAACACATTTAAGGTAGGCTAGGCTAACTATGGCATTCGGTAGGTAAAGTGTGTTAAATGCATTTCCTACTTAAACGATATTTTCAGTTTATGGTGGGTATATTGGAATATAGCCCCATTGTAGGGCAAGGAGCATCTTTATTTACCCAGTTGAGTTTAGTGGCAGCAGAACTAAGTTCGGTTTAGCTGTTCAGTGAGCCAAGCCTCACTTAGCATCTAATTCTGTCTTTATTTTCTGCTTTAGATAGGCCACAGCTCTCCTGAAGGGATTAAGACTTTCTGTGTGAAAAATGGTATTCAGAAGGAAGCCAGCATTAATTCTGTTTTTATACATTTATGAAGATTTGAAGGAATTTCACTGTCAATTCTGTCTTAATTGTATTCTGTATAATAAATCATAATGGTATCCAACGGCTCTTGAAAGGTTTGGTTTTTGTGAACATTTCTTTGAATGTCAAAGTTGTATTAGTTTGTTTCTCAATTAAACTGGGTGCTCTTTGAGGGCAGGGATTTATGGGACTTGTTTGTTTTGCAGTTTTATATCTCCAGCTGCTAATGCAGTGCCTGGTTTGTAGTAGGAATGAGAGATTTACTCCAATAGAACCATACTAAAGATCTTACACTTATGGATTACAGTTGATAGCTTTGTAGAGTGAACTGGTATTCCCTTTAAATGAGACGACATGACCTGAGTATAAAGTATAATCAACTACATGACTCCAGCAAGAATACCATGTGTCCCTCAGATAGCATAGCTGGCAGATGGAGTTATGCACATCAACTGGACATTTAAGACAGCTGGAGATTTCTTACATTTAGATGACAGTTTAGATTAGAAATATTTAATCTTAGCTGTACTTAATATATTATGTAGCTATATGATACATCATGTATATATGGTATATCATATATATCATATATTTAATCACATTTAATCCTTAGCTATATTTTCATCCCCAAAATGGTATATGGATCTGTTTTTATTGTCAGCTGGTTATTTATTGTTGCTTATCCATGGCTCATGAAAATCTTCATGTTACTTGGGAAATCTTTCACTCTGCCTTTTGAAGGACAGCCCAGAACCATTTCCTTCTTGGCACATGACCTTCTAACCCAGTGACCAAAGAGTATGTAAAAGCATGGTACACACTGCTTTTGAAGATTACGTGTGTCTATTCTAGATGTGTCTTATTTCTTGCAGATATATTGCCTACAAAGATTTTGATATATATATATACAGTAGACTATACTATATAATTAATATTTATACCAGATATTAAATATATAAGCATTCTACTAGAACTAAAGTTAAGAATTTGAAATAGTCTCATGTGAGTAATTAAAATAACAATAGCATCTTTTTCAAGAAAGTTTTTTTTAATATGGTGGAGATAATGACATGGAAAAAAGTAGTTAATTATTTTTGGTATTCCCGTATTTCATCAGTAGGTTGCCATAGAACATAATAGTTATATAATCAAACAGCAGAATAATTTTATATGAGGTTTATTGATACAGAAATGTTTGGTTCAGTGTTTGTCTTCCAGTTTTGCAGATTTTCTTTTCGATTTTAAAACTGGAGAATACATTAAAACCAGAAACTTTCAGCCTCTATAATGCCCTCAAAACTCAGCAGGTTTTGAAAATGCCTCTTCCTTCTCTTCTCCTCCCCATAATCCTGCTTATTTTTGGCATTAAGTGAGTCAGGGGTTCCAAACCCAAATACGTTTTTCAAGGCTATGTAGTCAGTGTGAATGAGAGAAGTAAATCTGTTGGGTCCTGTGCCACACTGGAGTTTCCAAGGCTGGTCTAAATGAGTTCAACTTCAGTTTTTTTGTGTTTTTTTAGAGATGGAGTCTTGCTGTGTTGCTTGAGCTGGTCTTGAACTCCCGGGCTCAAGTGATCTTCCAGCCTTGGCCTCCCAAGGTGCTAGAATTATAGGCATGAGCCACTGTGCTGGCCAATTTTTTTTTTTTTAGCCCACTGTGCTACCAGTTTGTGATCTTCACTTTAACTGTGAAAGGACTGTCAAAGATTGTACGTATAAGATTTAGTTTGAGAGCCAGGCCTGGTGGCTCATGCCTGTAATCCCAGCACTTTGGGAGGCTGAGGCGGGTGGATCACGAGGTCAGGAGATCAAGACCATCTTGGCTAACACGGTGAAACCCCGTCTCTACTAAAAATACAAATAAATTGGCCAGGCGTGGTGACGGGCGCCTGTAGTCCCAGCTACTCGGGAGGCTGAGACAGGAGAATGGGGTGAACCCGGGAGGCGGAGCTTGCAGTGAGCAGAGATCACGTCACTGCACTCCAGCCTGGGCGACAGAGCGAGACTCCTTCACCCAAAAAAAAAAAAAAAAAGTAGTTTGTCTTTCTCTTTGAAACTGAATTCATTAAACAAAAGCCTAAATAACTATACTATTACTTGTTATTTATTTATTTATTTATTTTAGACAGAGTCTTGATCTGTCAGCAGGCTGGAGTGCAGTGGTATAATCTTGGCTCACTGCAACCTCTGCCTCCCAGGTTCAAGTGATTCTCGTGCCTCAGCCTCCTGAGTAGTTGGGACTACAGGCATGCGTCACCACACCCAGCTAATTTTTGTATTTTTGGTAGAGATGGGGCTTCACCATATTGGCCAGGCTGGTCTAGAACTCCTGACCTCAAGTGATCCACCCACCTCAGCCTCCCAAAGTGCATAAGTGCTGGGATTACAGGTGTGAGCCACCACACCCAGCCTACTACATATTCTTTTAGACCCAGCTGAAATATCACGTAATTGCTGAAGGCTCCTGAACTCTTCCAGATCAGGGATTGATTTTCCTCATTTTAAGATTGTCATGACAACTGTAGTATTGATAACTGTATTTTATTTTATTTTATTTTTTTTGAGACAGAGTGTTGCTCTGTCACCCAGGCTGGAGTGCAATGGCACGATCCTGGCTCACTGCAAACTTAGCCTCCTGCGTTCAAGCAATTCTCGTGCCTCAGCCTCCCAAGTAGCTGGGATTACAGATGTGCACCACCAAACACCTGGAATTAGTCTGGCTAATTTTTGAAGTTTTAGTGGAGATGGGGTTTCCCCATCTTGGCCAGGCTGTTCTCGAACTCCTGCCTCAAGTGATCCACCTGCCTTGGCCTTCCAAAGTGCTGGGATTACAGGTGTGAGCTACCGCACCCGGCTTATTAACCAATTTTTAATGTTCAGCACAACTTGATCATGATGTACAATGTCTTTTTTATGTTATGTGTTGATGGAGTCAAATTACCGATATTTTGGTTCAGTTTTTTCAATAAGAGATCAGGCTATTTTCTGATTTTCATTCTGTTTTTTTCTTTGATCTGTATGTATTTATAAGTGTCTCTTATTTTCAAATAGGTTTTTTCTAGTTATCTTTTTGTAACGGATTTATAGATTATACATTGTGGTTAAAGAATATGGTCTATAGGCTGGGCACGGTGGCTCACACCTGTAATCCCAGCACTTTGGGAGGCTGAGGCAGGGGGATCACTTGAGGTCATGAGTTCAAGACCAGCCTGGCCAACATGGTGAAACCCTGTCTCTACTAAAAATACAAAAAAAATTTAGCCGGGCATGGTGGTGGGTGCCTGTAATCCCAGCTACTAGGGAGGCTGAGGCAGGAGAATCGCTTGAACCCGGGAGGTGGAGGTTGCAGTGAGCCGAGATAGTGCCACTGCAATCCAGCCTGTGCAACAGAGGGAGACTCCGTCTCAAAAACAAAAACAAAAAACAAACGAAAACACACACACGCAAAGAATACGGCCTACATGCACTTTCAGTCCTTTGGAAATTGTTGGTATTTATTTGCCATTTGGCCTAGTTTACCCAGATTCCACAGGTTGTTAATGTTGTACAATTGCGTCTTCTCTTTCTCACTTCACCCATCTATGTAATTTTTCTGAATCATTTGAGAAATAAGTTGCAAACATAATGCTGTATTACCCATAAATCAGGGTGTGTTTCCTGAAAACAAGGATACTCTCCTATAAAATCAGGAAATAAATATTGATATAATACTGCCATCTGATTCACAGACCCTACTCAAATTTCACTGATCTTCCAATTATGTCTTTTATAGCAAAAACAAAACAACAGAAACCAACAAAATTCCCTCAAGAAAACAAAAGCAGAAAAACTTCCCTTTCCCCTTCACTTATTTCTGATTCAGGGACCATTCAGGATTATGCCTTGCGTTTAGTTGTCATGTCTGTTCAGTCTCTTTTAATCTAGAATAGTTCTCAGTCTTTCCTTATTTTCAGTGATCCTAATATTTTTGAAGAGTAGAGAATTATTTTGTAGCAAGTCCCACAATTTGGGTTAGTCTGATGTTTCCTTTTGAATAGATTTAGGTTATGCATTTGTGGCAGGAATACCAAAGACACGATATTATGTTCTTCTCACTGCATCGTATCAAGAGGTTCATGTCAATTTGTCCAATTACTGGTTATGTTTAATTTTACCACTTGGTTAAGATGTTGGCTGGCAAGTTTTTGTAAAATTAGTTTAGAGGTATTTCATACTTACTGGTTAGTAAGTAATAATGCATTTTGTGGGGTGATGCTTTGAGACTATATAAATAGCTTATTTCTCATCAAATTTTTGCTTGCTAGTTTTACCATCCATTGGTGATTTGTGCCTGAATCAGTTATTATAGTGGTTGCTAGATGGTAAATTTAAAAAATTTCATTATTTCTTCTGAATTCATCACTTGGCATTTCTTTTTTTTTTTTTTTTTTTTTGAGACGGAGTCTCGCTTTGTCACCCAGGCTGGAGTGCAATGGCGTGATCTCGTCTCACTGCAACCTCTGCCTCCCAGGTTCACGTGATTCTGCCACCTCACCCTCCCAAGTAGCTGGGGTTACAGGCACCCGCCATCATGCCCTACTAATTTTTGTATTTTTAGTTGAGATGGGGTTTCACCATGTTGGCTAGGCTGGTCTTGAACTCTTGACCTCAGATGATCTGCCCACCTTGGCCTCCCAAAGTGCTGGGATCACAGGCTTGAGCCACCGTGCCCAGCCAATCACTTGCTATTTCACTCTAAGGAAAAGCTTTCTCTCTCTGGTTTTTGTCTTTGTTTTTGTTTGTTTAAAAATCTTTTAAACATATGAGCACAGCCTCATTGATTCTTATTTTGTTCCTTTTTCATGTATTTTTTGATATTCAAATTGTCCCAAATTTGGCCAGTGGGAACCCTTTCAGGCTGGCTCCTGTGTCCTTTTTCCATGTCCTCATCATTCTTTTTTTTTTTTTTTTTTTTTTTGAGACAGAGTTTTGCTCTTGTTGCCCAGGCTGGGGTGCAATGGCGTGCTCTTTGTTCACTGCAACCTCCACCTCCCAGGTTCAAGCGATCCTCCTGCCTCAGCCACCCAAGTAGCTGGGATTGTAGGCACCTGCCACCACACCTGGCTAATTTTTCTATTTTTGTTTTTATTTTTTTTATTTTTTGAGACGGAGTCTTGCTCCGTCGCCCAGGCTGGAGTGCAGTGGCGCGATCTCGGCTCACTGCAAGCTCCGCCTCTCGGGTTCACGCCATTCTCCTGTCTCAGCCTCCAGGCATGCGCCACCATGCCCGGCTAATTTTTTTGTATTTTTAGTAGAGACGGGGTTTCACTGTGTTAGCCAGGATGGTCTCGATCTCCTGACCTTGTGATCCGCCCACCTCGGCCTCCCAAAGTGCTGGGATTACAGGCGTGAGCCACCGCGCCTGGCAATTTTTCTATTTTTAGTGGAGACAGGATTTCACCATGTTGGTCAGGCTGGTCTCGAACTCCTGACCTCAGGTGATCCGCCCGCCTTGGCTTCCCAAAGTGCTGAGATTATAGGCATGAGCCACCACGCCTGGTCATGTCCCCATCATTCTTTGATCACTTTTTTTCTTACTTTTTGGAATAATAAGATTTTCTGTGGGCTGGGCGAGGTGGCTCACGCCTATAATCCTAGCACTCTGGGAGGCCGAGGCTGGTGGGTCACCTGAGGTCTGGAGTTCGAGACCAGCCTGGCCAACATAGTGAAACCTTGTCTCTACTAAAAATATAAAAATTAGCCGGGCATAGTGGCACACACCTGTAGTCCCAGCTGCTAGGGAGGCTGAGGCAGGAGAATTGCTTGAACCCGGGAGGCGGAGGTTGCAGTGAGCTGAGATTGCGCCACTGCACTCCAGCCTGGATGACAGGGCGAGACTCCGTCTCAAAAAAAAAAAATTTCTGGGCTCATCTTTACTTTTGTTATCTCAGTCGTGGAATCAATAATTTTATCAGGGAACCCTGGTTCCTTTTATTAGTGAATGTACTTAGAAAATAAAATATGTGCACTACTAGATATGTTCTTTCTATTGGGGTGTTCTTCCTTTTAGGCTCTATGTGAGGAGAGAACTAGAATATTGTTTTAAAATGTACCAGGTAATCCCAGCACTTTGGTAGGCTGAGGCAGGCAAGGCTGGCAGATCACTTGAGATCAGGAGTTCGAGACCAGCTTGGCCAACATGATGAAACCCCATCTCTACCAAAAAACACAAAAAGTAGCCAGGCGTGGTGACACGCACCTATAGTCCTAGCTAGAGTGAGATAGAGTGAGACCCTGACTTAAAAAAATAAACAAATAAATAAAATATACTGGAATTTAATTTATAGGTATGAATGACACAGAGAGGCCAATATTATTGAAAATGTGTTACTCACAGTTCTTCTGAAACAGCAGGCGCACCATACTATGCAGGACCACATGGGGAAGCACCAGGGTGGGTCAGGAGGCAGAAGGAACCAGAGGAAAGGATGGGTGAGTTTTTTTTTTGTTAAAGTGCTAGAAAGTTGTTAGGTGGGACATCCCCTATTGAGCAGAAAGAGAAACACAAATGTTGAGATTTGTGGTTGGACGGTTTGTAATATGATTTTTGTGTAGCCTCAAAAACACAGAGATGGTATGAATGTAAACAACTTTGGTCGTTAATTTGGCCCATCCTTTCAAGATGCCAAATCATCAATTACAGAATATCAAGAATGATTATATAGGTATGTATGCATGTCTATACATACATATATACATCTGTATCTTCCTGTAAATAATGAAAGCCATGGTTTCATTCCAATACTCTTAATTCTAGTCCAACACAATAGGGTTTCTTCTGGTGTTTCCCTTTTCTGACATTGAAAAATCTGAGGCCAGGCACAGTGGCTCTTGCCTGTAATCCCAGCACTTTGGGAGGCCAAGGCAGGTAGATCACTTAAGGTCAGTTGCTCGAGACCAGCCTGGCCAACATGATGAAACCCCATCTCTACTAAAAGTACAAAAGTTAGCCAGGTGTTGTAGTAGTGGTCGCCTGTAATCTCAGCTACTCGGGAGGCTGAGGCAGGAGAATCGTTTGAACCCAGGAGGTGGGGGCTGCAGTGAGCTGAGATAGCGCCACTGCACTCTAGCCTGGGCGACAGAGTGAGACTCCATCTCAAAAACAAAACAAAACAAAACGAAAAATCTGCCTCCTTTTTTTTTTTCATTCATTCATTAATTCTTTAGATGGGGTCTTGCCCTGTCACCCAGGCGGTAGCGCAGTGACACGATTATAGCTCACTGTTGCCTCAAGCCATCCTCTCGCCTCAGACTCCTGAGTATCTGGGACCATACAGGCACGTGCCACTGTGCTTGGCTCTCACATTGTCCTTTTTACTCACCTTCCTGTTGGTGACAATCTCCTGACTATGTAGGCCATTTTCTTGCCCCCAGCCCCACTGAATGAGCTGGCTGATCACTCCTTCAAGTTCCATGAGCCATTGTTACATACAGGTAGTACTCAGTTTGCTTGGTTTTGATATTCATAAATTTCCATTGCTGTGGTTTAATTAAATAATGCCAGTCCTCAAATAGCAGTTAATGAAATACAAAATATAACCTGTGATCAAGAAAAGCTTCTCAGGTGGGCGTGGTGGCTCATGCCTGTAATCCCAGCACTTTGGGAGGCCGGGGCGGGTGGATCACCTGAGGTCAGGAGTTCGAGACCAGCCTGACCAACATGGTGAAACCCCATCTCTACTAAAAATACAAAAAATTAGCTGGGCGTGGTGGCAGGTGCCTGTAATCCCAGCTACTTTGGAGGCTGAGGCAGGAGAATTGCTTGAACTCAGGAGGCATAGGTTGCAGTGACCCAAGATCAAGCCATTGCACTCCAGCCTGAGCAACAAGAGCGAAACTCCATCTCAAAAAAAAAAAAAAATAGCTTCTCCAAAATTTTAAAAATTTACCCTGACCCTGAAATAGTTGATTGTTCCCTCCCTAGACATCATTCAGTTGGAGCTAGCCTAATTTTGTTTTTTTTGTTTTGTTTTGTTTTGAGATGGAGTCTTGCTCTGTTGCCCAGGCTAGAGTGCAGTGGCGCGATCTCGGCTCACTGTGACCTCTGCCTCCTGGTTCAAGTGATTCTCCTGCCTCAGCCTCCAGAGTAGCTGGGATTACAGGCGCGCGACACCACACCTCGCTAATTTTTGTATTTTTGGTAGAGACAGGGTTTCACCATCTTGGCCAGACTGGCCTCGAACTCCTGACCTTGTGATCCACCTGCTTCGGCCTCCCAAATTGCTGGGATTACAGGCATGAGCCACCGCACCCAGCCTTTTTTTTTCCCTTGAGGAGAATTACAGTCTGCACTGCTCTCAGCTGAACTTTACACAGCTTTTACATTTCCCTCTGTCAGTTCCTCTTGTAATGGTGGGTGGGTAGCTGAAGGGAGGATATGTACAATAATGTATTTTTAGTTCCTTTGAACAGAGAGGTTGCTTCAGCCATTGCTATTGATGGCAGGAAGTATATTTATAGCTCCAGGGAAGGAGGGGTAGTACGACTGCTGGTTTAAGAAAACCTGGGAGATTGTATTTAATATATGTTGTTAAAACTCATTTGTACTTTATTGTAAGTTCTTGCCTTAGAAATGCAGCTGAGATGAATGAACCTGTTACTTATGTTATATTGTTACTTATGTTATATATGTTATATGTATTATTGTAAGTATATTGACTCTGCTCCCTAATTTGGAAAAATCTTCCGTTTTGAAATTTTACAATATACAATACCTAAAACAAAGAGTACTTCTAGAGCATACAGGATGTATGTGGAGAATTCAGGTGTTAGCATGCAATTGAACAGTAAAGATACTGACTAGCAGTATAAATATCGTCCCCATTTAGATATTTTATTCATAAAGTTCTTGTTGGTGTAGCTTTTATTGTGATTTTTTCTTTTTTTTTTTTGGATACAGAGTCTCGCTCTGTCACCCAGGCTAGAGTGCAGTGGCGCAGTCTTAGCTCACTGCAACCTCTGCCTCCCAGGTTCAAGTGATTCTCCTGCCTCAGCCTCCCGAGAACCTGGGACTACAGGTGAGCATTACCACACTGGCTAATTTTTATATTTTTAGTAGAGATGGGGTTTCACCATGTTGGTCAGGCTGGTCTCGAGCTCCTGACCTCAGGTGATGCACTTCCCTCGGCCTCCCAAAGTGCAGGGATTACAGGTGTGAGCCACTGCGCCTGGCCAATTGTGATTTTTTTAAAGATTGAAACCAAAATATTTTATACAGATCATAAGATATTCTTGGTAAACACTAAGCACCTCATAACTTTACCACAATTTTGATTGCACAACTTTCACCTGTGGTTATCATGTGCAATGGGCACATTCAACACAAATCAAATTATTCTGAAGCTTGCTTTCTTTCTTTTTTCCCTACTCCCTTTCTTAATTGAGGGGAGCAAAAAGTTGGTTTCCAGGGATATGTCTTCTCTCTTATGCTGGTCCCAGATTGATGCAGTCATGGAAACTAGGCAGTAAACTCATTCTTGGCAGCTGCCGGCACTGGTCTGATTCTTTCTTTTAAAAGCATGAGATTCTTTAATAACACATATTGGAAAGATTGATGCCAAGTGATTCCAGGTCATCCTAGAGGAGGCTTGGGAACATTGTTGAATAGATTTAAATGATTCAGTTAAGTGAGTGATTTAACCCAAGGTTTGTGTCTAATTTAAACAGGACCTATAAAATATAGAACAATTGGTTTGTTTCTTTTTTAGAATATTGAAGATTAGATTTTAATTTGAGAATTTTACTAATTTGAGGGTTTTATTTTTTGTTTTTAAGCGTTCAAAATGTTGAATTGTAGATATGCTGAGTTTTATAATGAGCACAATGAAGGTTTTTCAACTGGCCCGTTAAAGCCAACCCACTAATGAAATGAAAATATGAAATATTATGACTCCATAATATTTCATGGATTTTGAAGCTGGGCTGCCTGGGTTCAAATCCCATCTCTGCTACTTTTTGGGTACGTAACCTTGTGCCAGTTACTTAACCTCTCTGTGCCTCAGTTTCTTCATCTGCAAAATGGGAGATAGTGCAGTTTGAGTGTTCCTAATCTGAAATCTGAAATGCTCCAAAATCTGAAACTTTTTGAATGCCTACATGACTGCTCAAAGGAAATGCTTATTCCATGGAGCATTTGGATTTCGGATTTTTGGGTTAAGAATGCTCAATTGGTAAGTAAGTGTAATGCAAATATTCCAACATCTTTAAAAACCTGAAATCCAAACCACGTCTGGTTCCAAGCATTTTGGATAAGGGATACTCAACCTGTAAATAATGTCTGTTTCATGGGGTTGTGATGTGGAGTAAGTGAGCAAAGTTGTGTAATGTGCCTAGCTTATAGGGAACACTTAGCAAATGTTGGCTATTCCATTTATATATAAGAAATAGAATTATTGGCTGGGTGTAGTGGCTGATGCCTGTAATCATAGTGCTTTGGGAGGCTAAGGTGGGGGATTGCTTAAGGCTAGGAGTTCAAGACCAGCCTGGGCAACATAGCAAGACTCTGACTCTGCAAAAAAATTCACAAATTAGTTGGGCGCGGTGGTTATATGCCTGTAGCCCTTGCTACTCAGGAGGCTGAAGCAGGAGGATCGCTTGAGCCCAGGAATTTGAGGCTGTGGTGAGCCATGATAATGCCACTACACTCCAGCTTGGGCAATAGAGTGAGACCCCAACTTAAAAAAAAGAAAGAATTATTGATGGGATTGTAAAGGCTGAATATTAAATAAATTCAGAGGAGGTTTTTACGGAACTTATTTGTGAAATATTTTTAAAGGAAGGAAGGCATGTTTGTTTTAGGTTTATAAGAGATGGCAGATTTAGGAAGCTCCTCCCTACTCCAGATGAATAAGCCATCTGTTTTTCTATCCCTTTTAAGGATTTGCTTGGTGGGTTTCCATAACTTTTTTTTTTTTGAGACTGGATCTTTTACCCACCCAGGCTGGCGGGCAGTGGCGCAATCATGGCTCACTGCAACTTCAATCTCCTGGGCTCCAGCAGTCCTCCCGCCTCAGTCTCTCTTGAGTAGCTAGGACCACAGACGCGTGCCACCATGCCCAGCCAATTTTTATTTATTTTTTTGTGTGTGTGGAGATAGGGTCTTTCTATGATGCCCCGGCTGGTCTTGAACTCCTGGGCTCAAGTGATCTTGCTTTGGCCTTATAAAGTGCTGGGATTACAGTTATGAGCCATGGCGCCCAGTCTATGTATTCTTACAAAATTAAATTCATGTTAAGTGCTACACTAGCAGAATTTTTAAAATTTTTAAATGATGCACAAATAGAGAAGAGAGAGTGCAAATTAACGAGAAATAGGCAAGACTAATTTGAAGAAAACTATGAAGCTTTACTGAAGGATTTTTTTAAAGATATAAAATGCTGGCCAGGCGCGGTGGCTCATGCCTATAATCCCAGCACTTTGGGAGGCCGAGGTGGGCGGATCGTGAGGTCAGGAGATCGAGACCATCCTGGCCAACATGGTGAAACTCCGTCTCTACTAAAATACAAAAAATTAGCCGGGCATGGTAGCGGATGCCTGCGGTCCCAGCTACTCGGGAGGCTGAGCTGGAAGAATCACTTGAACCCAGGAGGCAGAGTTGCAGTGAGCCGAGATCACACCACTGCATTCTAGCCTGGCTAGAGAGCAAGACTCCGTCTCAAAAAAAAAAAAAAAAAAAGAATAGGCAAATAACTAGAGAAAAATAGTCCAGAAACAGACCTGAATATATATAGGAATTTAGAATATGAAAGTGTCAGTGTGTAGGAAGGAGTGAAATGAAAAAAGAAAGAAAAAAGGAATATGTTGAAAGTGGCATTCAGAAATCAGGGAGAAAATGATCGATTACTAAGAATGATCCTGTAACAGTGGGCTGTTTGGGGAAAAATACGTAAAGATTTCTAATTTAGACTATATTCAAATAATCACCAAATTATATAGAGCAGGGATACCCAACCTCCAGGCCACAGACCATCCTGTTAGGAACTGGGCCACACAGCAGGATATGAACTTTAGGCCAGGGAACATTACACCTGAGCTCTGCCTCCTGTCAGATCAGCAGCAGCATTAGATTTTCATAGGAGCACAAACCCTACTGCGAACTGTACACTCCAGGGATCTAGGTTGTGTGCTCCTTATGAGAATCTAATGCCTGATGATCTGAGGTGTTGCAGCTTCATCCCAAAATCTGAAACCATATCCTCCACCCCTCCATTTCATAGAAAAATTGTCTTCCACAAAACTGGTCCCTGGGTGCCAAAAAGATTGGAGACCGCTGATAATAGAGTATATATAATCAAATTACAGAAATAACCACACTCTATTCTTCCTCTAGAATATACTGAATGTTTCCTAAGAAAAGTTGAACACTCATGGCTGGTTGGCTGCTCTCTAGCACATCTTGCCTTCGTCTCTCACTAGTTGAATTTTACACTTCCAGGGGTCAGTATGTTTGTTCCAAATCTGCTTATGCCAGTTACATTTAGTACTGTAATTTTATAATTTAATTAAACATTAACTAATGAAATATGACTGCAAAAAGTAGTTGTTTTTAGGAAAATTAAGTTGTAGATCTTGAACAAATTGGATAAATACAAATCCCCTTTTCCCCTTTTCACCAAATTACTGTCTTACTAATTGTGGGCGTGAATATTTTGAAAGATTGGGGGTGGAAATCATAAAATTCTTTTTTTTTTTTTTTTTTTTTTTTGCTCTTGTTTCCCAGGCTAGAGTGCAATGGTGTGGTCTCAGCTCACCACAACCTCTGCCTCCTGGGTTCAAATGATTCTCCTGTCTCAGCCTGCCGAATAGCTGGGATTACAGGCATGCGCCACCACACCTGGCTACTTTTTTGTATTTTTAGTAGAGACATAGTTTCTCCATGTTGGTCAGGCTGGTCTCGAACTCCTGACCTCAGGTGATCCACCCGCCTCGGCCTCCCAAAGTGCTGGTATTACAGGTGTGAGCCACCACACCTGACCTCGTAAAATTCTTAAACGATCTATACTCAGTTGTCTTACAGTTGCCTAGATTCTTGTTCCATTTAAAGAAACTGAAATTTGAAATCACAAATGTGGATTATGGATATGATGGGTTATGGATATGATATATTTGTAATGAATATGCAAGAGAGAACATTTGAAACATTAATTAGTAGAAATGTACTTAAAGAAGAGGCCTTGGTTTTTTACCGTAATATTGGCAGGTGACATGTATTTGTTTTGAGTAAAAATCAAATATTTCAGTTACATTTTTAAAATTACCTGATATACTGTACTTTTTCATGTAACCAGTCAGCCCTGAGTCCTATTTGTGTTAGATAAGTTTTTACCAATCCCAGAAGGAGATAGAGGACAAGCTTTTATATGCTTCGGCTGAAGAAAACCTTTCTCCAAAGAAGTAATTATCTGATCCTCCTATAAAGGGCCAGATAGTAAATATTTTAGATTTTGCAGGCTGAAGTAGAATCAAGGGTAATACGTACGTTCTGATATAACAAGAGAGAAAACAAATTTTGAGAAATTTCTTAATTGATTAAATTCAAAATAATAAACACAATTTATTGAAATACAGGTATACTAATGAGAAGAATGGAGTTCTTTTCGGAGTGATAACATTTTCTTAATTGGAGTTCAGAGTTAGTGCTTCCTATTCAATAAATAATCATCAAAATTGATTGCAAGTATTTATCTATTAATGCAGGTCTGTAATGAGGTTTTATATATTTCATCTTTGACATGTCTTCACACATACATGTCAAATAATTGATACCAGCCCATAAACATATGATTTTAATTGAGCATATTAATAACTCAGGAAGCATTTATAGAATTAGGTTTTTCTTATAACATTTACCTTTTAGTATATTATTCATTGCTGCTTAATTACTTCCAATGGAAGGTTAGACAGAAGCTCCACAATTGCACTGTTAAATAGATACTGAAATATAGATATTTCCTTGTGCATTAAGGTCCTAAAAATTATTCTGGAAATGTAGTGTGAGCTAAGAAACTATATCCACTGCAAATTTGTTTGGGAATGGAGATCTCACTTCTTGTTTTAACTTTTGATAGCATGTAAAGTGTATAAAGCAGCTCAACGTTGCTTATGATTCAAAAGTTAGTTGTCTAAATAACAACAGTTTAAGTTTCATATATAAGTGTTGTTCTGTCCTGTAATTTTAAGTTGAATTTACTATTATAAAATTAGCAAAAGCTAATTCTCAAAGCCATTTATTGTTTGATCATAGTGTCTGAAAGCAGTCTTATTGTTGTGAAAAATTTCAATCTCAGTTCCAAGCTGAAAAGAAAAAAAAAAAAGCATGATAAAACTTTAGTACAGCTCAGCCGTCAAACTGCTGTGTGCCTGGGCAAGTCAGGTTATTCAGCTTCTGTTTCTGACAATGGTTAAGCCCATGGCAGTGAATGAAATTCACCATTAACATGGTTGGTTTAATAATTCATGATAAATTCAGATATTTTTCATAGAATATCTATTGATAAAAAACATGAATAACCACCTTACATTTTCACGTTTTATAAATCACCCAACTAAGCCTTTTTCTGCTTCACACATATTTTTACCATTATCAATGATAACGTATCTGAGATTCCACTTTAGGTTATATGGAATTAGTACTTTTTCACCTTCTTGTTTGTAGTTGTTCAACACAGACTATTCATAGAAGCTAATTCTTCAGTTGTTTTAAACTTGGCACTGACTCCTTGAATAAACATCTGAACAGTGTTGTAACATCTATCAAACTCATTCAAAAGAGATGGAAATCTACTTAACCTCAATTGCCTTGGTTTTTTTTTTAAACAGATTATTGATCTTGCTCCTAATATTTTCGACTTTTAGAGCAAATGATTTTGTTGAAAGGCTAATAGTCTTTTTTTCTTTTTAAATTATCTTATATTAAATTTAAAAAATAATTTTTTTGTTACCTGTCTGGAGAAAGCCTAGAGAAAGGCTAATTAATACTCTTAAACAAGTTTATTTTCTCTGGATACATTTCTTCAGCTTCTTCATGATTTAATTCACTTATCACTAGAATATTACTTTTCTTGCTTTGCTAACAAATGAGCTACTTAGAAACTTCCCTCCTTTACAAACTTTCTATTCCTTACCTTCCCTCCTTGCTGTAATGAAATATTCCACTTTAAATTTTCAAATTTTTCTGACCATTGCTTTCCTGTGAATCGGAAATACTGTGATCGGTCCTTAGTTTGGTAACATTGATGTATTTTGAATTCTTTTAGCACAGACAGACAGTTGACTCCTTGAACAACGCAGTTTCAAACTGCACAGGTCCAATTATATGAGAATTTTTTTTCAATAAATACAATCAGCAGTTTATACATATACAACCAAACGTGGATCAAAAATACGTTATTTGAGGAAACCCCCAGATACAGAACAGTGAAATTTTTGTATCCTCTGGGCCACTGTGGGACTTGAGTGTGCATAGATTTTGGTATCCACGGTTGATCCACAGATACCAAGGGATGACCGTAGAGTCATTGCATAATAAACAAAATGCTTCCCTATCTTGTCTTGATAAAATAATGCATACCCTCCACTGTGCCTTAAAAGCATGACATTCAGGCTGGGTGTGGTGGCTCACACTTGTAATCCCAGCACTTTTGGAGGCCAGGGTGGGAGGATTGCTTGAGCCCAGGAGTTCAAGACCAGCCTTGGCAACATAGTGAGAGTCCATCTCTAGTTTTAAAAAAATACAAAATTAAAAAAAATGAAAAACATGACATTCAAAGTGCATTTGTTTTTGTTTCGACATGATGGTTATGCACTAATAACTAATGATAGTTATGTACTAATAAAATGTCAAAATAATAACGACTTTTAGTTACTGATAACAGTTATGCATTAATAAAAAATAAAATGTCACAGTATGACAATATGCATGTGTGGCACCAAACATGCTGTTGAGTTATAACTTTGTGACTGTGATTTGTGGGATACTGAGCAGCAGTGGAAAGCTATATAAGCCACTCCACTCTGCCAGTCAGTACAGTGGCTGATTACCAATTATGGATAACCAGAACACATCAAAAAGCAGTTCAACAAGGATCAGAATAATAACATGTAAGTACCATTTATTAAGTAGTTATGTGTAAGGCACTGTGTCAGACTGTATAATGTACATTATTTAACCTTCAAAAGATTGAGAGGGAAGATCCCTTGAGTCTGGGAGGTCGAGGTTGCAGTTAGCTGTGATTGCACCACTGCACTCTAGCCTGAGTGATGGAGCGAAATCCTGTCTCAAAAAACAAAACAAAACAAAACAGGCCTGGTGCGGTGGCTCATGCTTGTAAATCCCAGCACTTTGGGAGGCTGAGGCTGAGGTCAGGAGTTTGAGACCAGCTGGGCCAACATGGCGAAACCACGTCTCTACTAAAAATACAGAAATTAGTTGGTGTGGTGGCTCACACCTATAATCCCAGCTACTCGGGAGGCTGAGGCAGGAGAATTGCTTCAACCCAGGAGGCGGAGGTTGCAGTGAGCCAAGATCATGCCACTGCACTCCAGCCTGGATGAGAGTGAGACTCCATCTCCAAAAAAAACCAAAACAAAACAAACGAAAACTACAAAAGATTGTCTGAAGCCAGCCACAGACAATAGTAAATGAATGAGTGCAGCTACATTCTTTCTTATTTATGGATGCAGAAGTTTGAATTTCATATAATTTTTCCGTTTCACTTATATATAAATTATATATTATATATTACATAATATATAATATATATTATAAGATAATATAATATATATTAGATAATATATATAATATAAGATAATATATATTAGATAATATATATAATATAAGATAATATATATTATATAATATAATTAAAATATATTAATTATAATATATAATATATGACATATATATGTTATATATTGTTATATATAATATGTGTAATTATATATTATAATATATGATATATATATAATCTATCATATATCATATATATAATCTATCATATATCATATATAATCTATCATATATCATATCATATATAATATATATCATATCATATATAATATATATGATGTATAGTATATATGATATATAACATATATATAATATATGATGTATAGTATATATGATATATAACATCATATATACTATACGTCATATATAATATGACGTATAGTATATATGATATATGATATATATACTATATTGTATATGATATATAATATGTATTGTATATTATATATAATATATATATAAGGCACAGTGGAGGGTATGCATTATATATAATATGTATTATATATTTTATATATTATAATATATATTTTATATATAATATATTTTGTATATTATATATTTTATATATAATATATTTTGTATATTATATATTTTATATATAATATATTTTGTATATTATATAATATATAAAATGTATATTATATATAAGTAAAGTATATATTATATATAATTTTTATATATACTTTTTTTTTTTTTTTTTTTTTAGACTGGATCTTGCTCTGTCACCCAGGCTGGAATGGAGTGGCTGGGACTACAGGTGTGTGCTATCATGCCCAGCTAGTTTTTTTTTTGTTTTTTTTTTGTTTTTTTTAATTTTTTTTTTTTTTTTAAGACGGAGTCTCGCTGTCACCCAGGCTGGAGTGCAGTGACATGATCTCGGCTCACTGCAAGCTCCGCCTCCCGGGTTCACACCATTCTCCTGCCTCAGCCTCCCAAGTAGCTGGGACTACAGGCACCCACCACACGTCCAGCTAATTTTTTGTATTTTTAGTAGAGACGGGGTTTCACTGTGTTAGCCAGGATGGTCTCGATCTCCGGACCTCATGATCCACCTGCCTTGGCCTCCCAAAGTGCTGGGATCACAGGTGTGAGCCACCGCACCCGGCCTACTTTTTATTTTAACTTTTTTTTTTTTTTTTGTAGAGATGTGGTCTCACTGTGTTGCCCAGGCTGGTCTCAATCTCCTGGGGTCAAACAGTGCTCCTGCCTCGGCTTCCCAAAATGTTGGTATTACAGGTATGAGCCACTTTGCCTGGCTATCTTATAAATAATTTTGATGTTAGGAATTTTTAGTTGCTTTTATTTTTATTTTTGTTGTTTTAAATATTTATTAATAGAAGCAAGGGGTGGATAAATCTTCTAGATCAAACTCTTCCTTAAAATAGTTCTGCTTTTGGTAGGATTCCAGATTTTCCTAGTTTTGTTAAGTGTTTCTAATGATGTTTGGCATAGGTGTTAACTTCATGGGCCTGTTGTATACAAACCAATTTTTTTCTTGCTCTGAGTGAACAGTAACAGAACCTGGTAGGTGAGTCACACTGATACTGCATTCACTGAAGTTACTAAGCTGAATGATAAGAGATGAGAATCCTTTGCATTTGTATTCAAATCAAGAGTTGTAGAATTTGAAATTCCTGTTTTGATGAACTATGTGAAGCATGCTGTCATTCTTCTCTGCTAGTCTATGTTGATGATGTCATTAAACTAGTCTTTGACTTTTAGTTCTTGGCTTAAAATATTGGAATGATTATATAATAAATAGGTTTATTTCATGTGGAAAAGGAATAATGTGTTTGCCCTGAAATAGTCTGATCTGATCAGGAGGATATTATGCTGAGCATGGCTGGAAATAAATTTGTAGCACCAATTAAATACACTGTAGCAGCTCTGAGAGGGAATAAAAGTAAAATATAAATAGTAAATATGAGAGAAAGTGACTATGGGATCTAACTATGTAAGAGCAGGGTGGGAGTATGGGTAGATACGTACATGCCCCCTAGATTTTAGGAAAGCATATTTCAAGAAGTAGAGAAGACATGGATATCAATCAGTGGAAATCGTATACTAAAACGGAAGTCAGTGAAAAAAAAAGACTGCTCTCAAACTAAAGATAGATGGTTGCTTCTAATAGGTAGGTATTCAGATTCGATTAAGAAATTAGAAGGCCGGGCATGGGGACTCAGGCCTATAATCCCAGTACTTTGGGAGGTCATGGTGGGCAGATCACTTGAGCCCAGGAGTTCGAGACAAGCCTGGGCAACCTGGTGAAACCCCATCTCCACAAAAAATACCAAAATTAATTAGCAGGGTGTAGAGGCACATGTCTGTATTCCCAGCTACTCAGGAGGCTGAAGTGAGAGAATCACTTGAGCCTGGGAGGTTGAGGCTACAGTGAGCCGAGATCACACCATTGCACTCCAGCCTGGGTGACAGAGTAAGACCCTATCTCAAAAAACAAATTTTGAAAATATACAGAAGTATAGAAAAACTGAAGTAATTTAATTTGTGTTAAAATCTGTTTGGTATTAAAACTAATGTTTGGCCGGGCATGGTGGCTCACGCCTATTAATTATCCTAGCACTTTGGGAGGCCGAGGCAAGTGGATTGCTTGAGCTCAGGAGTTCAAGACCAGCCTGGGCAACGTGGCGAAACTCCGTCTCTACAAAAAATACAAAAATTAGCTGGGCATGGTGGCTCACGCCCGTAGTCCCAGCTCCTTTGCAGGCTGAGGCAGGAGGATCACTTAAGTCCAGGAGGTGGAGGTTGAAGTGAGCTGAGATCGCACCTCTGCACTCCAGCCTGGGTGACAGAGTGAGACCCTGTCTCAAAAACAGACAACGACAAAAAACCCTAATGTTTTATGAAAAAGCTCTTTAATTTTTCGTGACCAAACTGCTATTCTCTAGACCTACACTGTCCAAAATGATAGCCATTAGCCATGTGTGCTACTGTGTTGGACAGCACGTATTTAGAACATTTCCAACATCACAAAAGTTCTATTGCAGAATGCTATGAAAATGAGATACACTTTCATTAGAAAAGCTAGTAAAAATAAGTAGGGGTAATGGGGTACTTTGACTATCCAGAAATTTTACTAAGGAAGAATTAGATTTTTATAATACTGGGACATTAGTGTGCACTTTTTTTGTCGTAATTGCATTTTGTTTTTTATTTTGAAATAAATACATGTACAGAAAAATTGCAAGAATAGTTACAGAGTCTTTTCGCTCCCTGAACCATTAGAGAGTGAGCCCCATCAGCCCCAAATACTTTAATGAGCATTAAATCTGGAGTTTGGCCGGGCACGGTGGCTCACGCCTGTAATCCCAGCACTTTAGGATGACGAGGTGGGCAGATCATTTGAGGTCAGGAGTTTGAGACCAGCTTGGCCAACATGATGAAAACCTGTCTCCACTAAAAATACAAAAAAATGAGCCGAGCTTGGTGGTGCACACCTGTAATCCCAGCTACTCAGGAGGCTGAGGCATGAGAATCACTTGAACCTAGGAGGCGGAGGTTGCAGTGAGCTGAGATTGTGTCACTGCATTCCAGCCTGGGTGACAGAGTGAGACCCTGTCTCCAAAAATAAAATAAAATAAATCTGGAGTTTAATACCAGTACAGTACTACCAGCTTATCTTCAGGCCCCATTCGAGTTATTCTAGTTGTCCCCAAAAGGTGAAGGATCCAGTTTAAAATCACACATTGCATTTAGTTGTCATGTCTGTCTTTGACTTGATCGCCTTGACACTTTTGAAGATTACAGGCTCATTATTTTGAGGAAGTCATTAACATGGACCTGATGTTTCTTCATCTTTAGATTCAGATTATGCATTTTATCAGAATTGCCACATAAATTGTGCTGTGTTCTTATTTTATCCATCCAGGTACTACATAATTTCCATGTGTCCCATTTTTCTTGATGTTAACCTTGGTCACTTGATTAAGATTGTGTCTGCCAGTTTTCTCTACCATACATTTAACTATTTTTTCCTTTATAATCAGTATTTTATGAGGAGGAGGAGGAGGTACTTTGAGACAATGTAAGTATCCCATTCCTCATCAAACTTTCACCTTCTAGTTTTAGCACCCATTGAAATTTTTTTGCTGGATTATTGGTATGATGGCTGCCAAATGATGATTTTCTAATTTCATCATCCCTTCTACATCCATTCATTGACATTTCATTGAAAGGAAAAACTGTTTTCTTCCCATTTATTTAACTTATATCAATATGGACTTACGGATTCATATTTTATTCAATAAGTTATCTATTAGTGTACTTTGGTACTTTGATGCTGAGTTTGTCCCAGATTTGGTCAGTGGAAACCCTGTCAAGCTGGCTTCTGTATCCTTTTGACATTGTCCTATCATTCTTTGATCACTTTCCTCTTTCTGGGACCAGATATGATCAAAGCCCTTCTTATACTTTTCCTGCCCTACCTCTGGAATCATTTCACCAAGGTACCCTGGTTCCCTTTATTGAAGAATGTATTTAGAGGTTAGGTCTGGACAGTAGATGGCATTGTTCCACTGAGGTGTCACTGCTCCTAGACTTTCTCAGCAGACAGAGCTAGAGCATATATGCATGTATATACATACACAAACATACATCCACACACATAGACTCATTTTTTTATTTCTTGCTCTGTGTGTGTGTGTGTGTGTGTGTGTGTGTGTGTGTACTGTGAGTTCACACTGGTACCTAGTACCTCAACACCTCAGAGTTCATTTTATTTTTCTTCCTTTTTGTATTTGTAACTCCCTTCTCTGACAGAGAAACTGGGCCCCAGTTTTTCTTAATATATTACTATTTACTTAATTGATCAATCCCCTTGAATGTGCCCAGTCTTTCCTTTCCTTATCAGATCATGTGCATGCTAACCTTGCTCAGCCCCACCTAATGGTTTTTAGACTGAATTATTTGGAGACGAAAAAAGTACGGTTGATGCTCATTAGTCACAGATTTTTTTTATTTGCAAATTCACCTACTTGCTAAAATTTATGTGTAACCCCAAAATCTGTACTCGTAGCACTTTTATGGTCATTCATGAACACGTACAGAAGGGTAAAACATTTGAGTCGCTATTGGGTAACGTGTATTCCTAGGTGAGGCCAAGCAAGGCAGTCTACTGCCTTCTTCTTTGAGTCCTCATACTATAAATAGTTGTCCCTTTTGCAGTTTACTTAGCGCCACATATTTTGCATTTTGACTTCTTTTACTTAGCATGTGTTTTCAAGTTCCATCCATGTTTATAGCATGTATCAGTACTTCATTCTTCTTCTTTTTTTTTTTTAAAGAGTTGGGGGTCTCACTGTGTTGCAGGCTGGAATACAGTGGCTATTCACATAGGCCATCATAGCATGCTGTAGCCTCAAACTTTCACTGGGCTCAAGTAATCCTCCCACCTCAGCCTCCCAAGTAGCTGAGATTAGAGGTGTGGGCCACTGTACCAGGTTCCTTCCTTTCTAAGGCTGAATAATAGTTCATTGTATGTATAATACCACATTTTGTTTATCTATTCATCCAATAATGGGCATTTAGGTTATTTCCACCATTTGGCTATCTTTTGAAAATCTTTTCATGTGCTTGTTGGCCATTAGTATATATTCTTTGGAGAAATGTCTCTTAAATTCTTTGCCTATTTTTTAAATTGGGGGGAAGTTGTCTTTTTTTGTTACTGAATTGTAAGAGTTCTTTATTCTGATAACTAGACCCTTATCAGATACATGATATCTGATTAACACATAGTTTCTTGCATCCCATAGGTTGTCTTTCAAAATTTTGACGAATTCCAATTTGTCAGTTTTGTTGCTTATGATTTTTAGTGTCATATCTAAGAATCCATTTTCAAATTCAGTGTCATGAAGATTTACCTATGTTTTCTTCTAAGAATTTTATAGTTTTAGACCAAGCGCGGTGGCTCATGCCTGTAATCCTAGCACTTTGAGAGGCTGAGACAGGCGGATTGCCTGAGCTCAGGATTTCAAGATCAGCCTCAGCAAGATGGTGCCCATCTCTACTCAAATACAAAAAATTAGCCTATGGCGTGTGCCTGTTCAGCTACTCGGGAAGTTGAGGCAGGAAAATTACTTGAACCATGGAGGCAGAGGTTGCAGTGAGCCGAGATTGCATCACTGCACTCCAGCCTGGGCCACAGAGCGAAACTATGTTTCCAAAAAAATAATAACAATAATTTTATAGTTGTAGCTTTTTAAGTTTTTAATCCACTTTGATTTTTTTGTTTTGTTTTGTTTTTTGAGACAGGGTCTTGCTCTGTGCTGCAGGCTGGAGTGCAGTAGAGCAGTCTTGGCTCACTGCAGCCTTGACCTCCTGGGCTCAAGCTATCCTCCCACCTCAGCCTCCCAAGTAGTTGGGATCACAGGCTTGTGCCACCATGCCTGGCTAATTTTTGTATTTTTTCTAGAGATGGGGTTTCACTATTATTGCCTAGGCTGGTCTTAAACTCCTGGGCTCAAGTAATCCATGCCCACCTTGGCGTCCCAAAGTGCTGGGATTACAGGCGTGAGCCACCACTTTCAGTCCCAAGTTAATTTTTATATATGGTATGAGGTAAGGATTCATTCTTTTGCATGTGAATATCCAGTTGTCCCAGTGCCATTTGTTGAAGAGCCTGTTCTTTCCCCATTGAATGTTGTCTTAGCACTCTTTCCAAAAATTAGTTGACCATAGGGCATGGTGGCTCATGCTTATAATCCAAGAGCTTTGGAAGGCCCAGATGAAAAGATTACTTAAGGCCAGTATTTCATCACCAGCCAGCCATGGTGGTGTGTGCTTCTGGGAGGGTGAGGCAGAAAGATGGCTTGAGCTCGGGTGTTGAAGGCTGCAGTGAGCTCTGATTGTGCCACTGCACTCCAGCCTGGGTGACAGAGTGAGACACTGTCTCTAAAAAATAGAATAATAAAAATCAGTTGACTATAGATTTGTGGATTTATTTCTGAACTCATTTAAAACTATTCCATTGATCTATATATCACTCCTTATACCATTACCACACAGCTTTGGTTACCGGTGCTTTGCAATAAGTTTTGAAATCAGGAAGTATGAGTTCTCCAACTTTGTTCTTCCTTTTCAAGATTGTTTTGGCCATTCGGAGTCCCTTGCAATTCCATATAAATTTTAGGATCAGTTTTTTTATTTCTTTTTTTTTTTTTTTTGAGACAGAGTCTCCCTCTATTGCCCAGGCTGGAGTGCAGTGGCGTGGTCTTGGCTCACTGCAACCTCCATCTCCCAGGTTCAAGCAATTCTCCTGCCTCAGCCTCCCGAGTAGCTGGGATTACAGGCACACACCATCCGCCCAACTAAATTTTGTATTTTTAGTAGAGATGGGGTTTCAGCATGTTGGCCAGGCTGGTCTCGAACTCCTGACCCCCAAGTGATCCGCCGGCCTCGGCCTCCCAAAGTGCTGGGATTACAGACATGAAAGCTTTTTTATTTTTGAAAAAATAAATAAATAAATAAAGACATAAGATGTCTTTCCATTTATTTAGGGTCTCCTTGTTCTTGGAGGTAGATTTTCTCTGATCTATTTTCATTGAGACCTTGGGCCTTAAGAGAGCCACAATTTCATGAGAGATTATTTCTCTGGAGCCCTTCCTACCCTTCTCCTATTTCCTGTCTCCTTTCCTCCCTTGTTATTCAAAAGTCTTAACAAATGCTCCTGGGCCCAATACAGAGGTCAGCTCACACTTCCAGCCTTAGCTTTGGTTCACTTTTTGCTTTCTTGCCACTGGTAGTTTTCCCTCCTCTCTTAAGAACTTAGCTAAGCTTTTCAAAGGATGTTTGCATTTATCCAACATTTCTAGATTTTGGTAGCTGGAGAGTTTTAATAATTTTCTAGATTGCTGTTTTACTAGATTAGAAAAAGATAGAGCTGGGTGTAGTGGCACATGCCTGTAATCCCAGCTACTCCAGAGGCTGAAGTGGGAGGATTGCTTGAGCCTGGGAGTTAGACCAACCTGGGCAACATAGTGAGACCTATCTCAAAAAAAAAAGTAAGACTTTAGGGCGCAGTGTAATCCCAGCACTTTTGGAGACCGAGGCGGGTGGATCTCGAGGTCAGGAGTTCAAGACAAGCCTGGCCAAGATTGTGAAACCCCGTTTCTACTAAAAATACAAAACTTAGCTGGGCAGAGTGGCAGGCGCCTGTAATCCCAGCTACTCTGGAGGCTGAAGAAGAGAATCACTTGAACCCGGGTGGCAGAGGTTTCAGTGAGCCGAGATTGCACCACTGCACTCCAGCCTGGGCGATAGAGTGAGACTCTGTCTCAAAAAAAAAAAAAAAAAAAAAGACAGTGTTTTTTAAAGATGGAGTTTAGTATACAGAAATATTGGGTGTCAGGCAAAGTATTAATTACTTTGTACGTATTCTCTTTTCCTTCTTTTTTTTAAAACGAGACAGGGTGACCAGGCTAAACTCTGACTGTTGGGCTCAAGTGATCCTGCCTTAGCCTCTGGAGTAGCTGGGCATTACAGGCACATGCCACTGTGCCCGGCTACATACTCACTTATAAAACTCTATTTTTAAATGACAGCTCCTCTTTACAAAATAGATCAGGAGAGCGATTTTCCTGTCTGCTTCCTGAGGAAGCAAAAAGGCAGAAACATGGTGAGCAGCAAGACCAGTGGTTGCCGTAGTAAGCATGGGACTTCCTATGAATGGCTCTGTTAACAGTAGGGGATGGTAATGTTCTTTGATTTGTGGACTCTGTTTGATTTGTGGACAAGGTTTTATTTCCTGTCTTTGGGGTAGGAGGGTCTGCCATATCCACAAATTGGCTCTTCCCATTTGTTGTATTCATTTAGTTAGACCATGATTGGAAAGCCTCACTGGCTGTGCACATTGCACCATACTTAGGAATATATGACGGTTATACATTTCAAACAGGGCTTTAAAACCTTCCATTCAGCTCCTTTTGGATAAAGCTCTTTTCCTCATGTGGTTGTTGACATACATGAATTATAGGCTTTGTTTAGCTAGTGGGTAAGAGCAGATTTTGGAGTCATGTACACCTGGGTTTGAGTTTCAGTCTTGCCATGTACCAGTTGTTTGTGGACAAGTTATTTATTAATAACTACTCTGTACCATAGTTTCTTCATTGGTAGTATCTTCAAAATGAAGTATCTATTTCCTGTGCTGTTTTGAAGGTAACCTTAAATAATGTGCATTGTACAATTTGATACAGTGTCTGACACGTAGTAAATACTTTAATATATAATACCTGTTTTTATTCTGATCCTTGTTGAGCTGCTGCTTTTTGATGTGTTGATTATATATAATTGGTAATCATCCATTTTACTGACATCTTCCAAGATTTGACCAAGTTGATTGTCTCAAATTTCCAAGCAGAAAAAGTACCCAGAAAACAGAAATTAAGCAGTTATTAAAGAATCGAATAGCAATGATCATTACGACTTGTGCTTAATAAGAAATGTGGGCCATGTCTGCCTGAGCCTTTATTTAATGCATTTTAAAATTTGCTGGGTTTTTTCCTCCCTTTAAACCTTACTATCAGGTTCAGTAATAAGTTAAACTAAAAAGAAACGGATGCCTTAGAATAAAGAAAGATTCAAATTAATAGGATATATAATGGCCTTTCATGGTGGTGGAATTTCTGTGTGTTTTGAACTAAGGGAAAGACTTAAAGGAAGATTGCCTACAGTGTACTGGACACTTTGCTAGGCTCTGTGGATATTATCAAGACACAGTCCTTACCCTCAAGGATCTTTTTATTTTTCTTTTAGAGACGGGATCTTGCCCTGCCACCCAGGCTGGAGTGCAGTAGCAAAATCATAGTTCACTGCAACCTCCACTCACTCTCAAGGATCTTACTCTCAGCTGGGGGAGGCCATAAACAGTTAAAGTAGCTTACTCTCAGCTGGGGGAGGCCATAAACAGTTAAAGAGTTAATGATTGACTCTAGGGCTAAGGGAAAGAAAGTAATTGGGTCAACTAGGATTTCTAGCTTGGCAAGGGGGTAGACCTGGATTGGCAAACTACAACCCAATGCCAGTTTTTGCATAGCCCACAAACTACAAATGTTTCTTACATCTTTGAGTGGTTGGAAAAATATCAAAAGAAGAATACTATTTTGTAACGTGGAAATTATATAAAATTAACATTTACATGTTCATAAATAAGGTTTTATTAGAATATAGCTATGCTGAAACTACATATCTATGACTGCTTTTTTGTCACAACAGCAGAGATGAGTAATTGTGACAAAGGCTGTTTGGCCTGCAGAGCCAAACATTTACTGTGTGGCTCTTTACAGAAAAAGTTTGCTAACTCAATGAGTAGGTGGTAATTTTTATCCATTGAAACAAGCAATTAAGGAAGAACAGATACAGGAGAAGATAACATTTCTGTGAGTGTTGATTATTTGAATCAGAGGTACTTGTGAATATGCAGGTCTAGAAGGCAAGGGAATTTATAGGTTTGGAGTTTGGAAAGAGCTTGAGGCTGGAAATGGATGTGGGAGGAAAGGAGGAGATCAAGAAGACTGGATGGAGGAGTGCAATTTTTAGCCCTGTCTGCACATTGGAATCACCTGTAGTGCTTAAAACCAAACAAAACCAGACAGACATTTCCAGGAACCCAACCCCAACTCCCTCTTTCCCAAGATTATGATGCACCTGAGCTGGACTTGGGCACCAGAATTTTTTGAAAGCTCCCCCAGCAACTCTAATGTGCAGCCACTGGTACAGAGTGAGAAGATTGGAAGATGGGACACCAGGAACACCAACATTTAAGGGATAGTTCTAGGTGCTTCTGCTGAGGAGAGGAAATTCTGAGGGAGTGATGATGGGAATTTTAGGGTGGTCAGATCCTGTAATTTGAGATCATTGTTGACTGATGAATCAAGAGCAGTTTCTGTAGAGGCCAGGTGAGGGTGTATGTCAGAGGCCCCTGGTTTGAGGTGGGAGAGTATGAACTATTGAGAATATTGACCGGGAGGAAAGGGGGGAAAGTGATGGCTGGGATGGGGGGCATTGGGAATGTAGTTTGTTCTAGAGAGGTTTTTTTAAGATGTTAAAGCCTTGAGGCTATTTATGTGCTGAGGGAGTGAGTACTCAGAAAGAAAGCCTGGAATGGCAGTATCAGATGCCACCATTCAGTTTTCATGATGGAGTGAAGGGCTAGATTTTGAATAGTTCTTGGAATAATCTTAATATTGTAACCTTTTTGGAACTGTTTGCTTAATGTGCTTTCTTCATTTAGGTGCATTACATTGTACCTGGAAAGAGAAATGGACCCAGGCATTGAGAAGCAAGGCCAACAACTCTGCTTTGCTTGCCCGGTTACTGTCGTTCTGTCTGGGACATTGGTCTCATCTCTGAAAGCAGGAGGGCAAACTGAATGGGCTCTGTAGTCTCTTCTAAAAGTTTTTAGTTTAAACTATTAATAGTACAACTTTGATTTAACAAATGAGGAAGCTGAGCTTACGAGATGTCTGTGAAGCCCATTGTCTGATCTTTTATTTCCTTAGTACCTGGGAATGCGCTTTTTTTTTTTTTTTTTTTTGAAGAACACCAACAGTTGTTCACCCTTCCTTGAATTTGGGTACACTGTATATACAGAGTATACCAATTTAGCCTGCCATTAGAACATGTCTTCACGAGCAAAATCTAGTATAAAGTCTTACTTTAATATTTTCTTTATTATGTATAAATAATAGATGGTTGTTATGGAATACTGGATAGTACAAAAGTTTAGAATTTTTAACATTTTGGTTTATTTATTGGGACTCTTTTTTCCCCCCAGTGATTCTTGTTTCTCCAACAATGTGAATGCGCACTCCATTCAGTGTGAACGTGAATGTTAATTTATGTGCCAGCTGGATTCTACAGGAAGCAGACACAGATGGGGTTGGAGGGGCAAAGGGCTTATTAGAGGAGTAATGCCTGTGAAGAAAAGGGGAACGGAACATGTTTGGGTATAGGGAGCCATCAGACTGCAGTGCACACCTGACGAAGTCTCTGCCCACCCAGATTGCCTGATAGAGGAATACCACAAGAGGTAGAAATGGCTAGGCTCTTGTACTACCACTTTGCACAGTCATTGACTAGAGATAGATCTTTGATCAATGTAGAGATTTTCAGCCTTGGCATTGTTGACATTTGGGACTGGATACTTTGTTATAGGGGGTTGTCCTGTGATTTGTAAGATGCTTAGCAGCATCCTAGGCCTCTATCCCCTAGATGCCAGTAGCCCAGCCTCCCTGCTATTAGTTGTGACAGTCAAAACTATCTTTAGACACTGCCATATGTTCCCTAGGGAAGGGCCTAATGGTATATAAACAACCCTATGGTGGCATAGTCCAAGTTTTGGGACAGGGAGGAGTGTTCTATACTACCCTTACTGGAAAGACCTATGAGCTATTCAGAAATCTGAACTATTTAAGATGGAGCTTTGTTCTGTGGCTCCTGGAATTTTAAGCACACCCCTGTGAAACATCTTGTTAGGATATACTCCACTCTCCAAAACAATCCATAATGTTTAAATAGGGCTGTTTTATTGATTGATTGATTGATTGATTGAGATGGAGTCTCACTCTGTTGCCCAGGCTGGAGTACACTGTCACGATCTCGGCTCACTGCAACCTCCCCCTCCTGGGTTCAAGCAATTCTCCTGCCTCAGCCTCCCAAGTAACTGGGATTACAGACACCCACCACCGTGCCTGGCTAATTTTTGTATTTTTGGTAGAGACGGGGTTTCACCATGTTGGCCAGGCTGGTCTCGAACTCCTGACTTCTCAGGTGATCCGCCTGCCTCGGCCTCCCAAAGTGCTGGGATTATAGGCATGAGCCACCGCACCTGGCCTTATTTTTCTTTTTGAGATGGAGTCTGACTTTGTCGCCTGAGCTGGAGTGCAGTGGCGCGATCTGGGCTCACTGCAGCCTCTGCCTCCCGGGTTCAAGCAATTCTACCTCAGCCTCCTGAACAGCTGAGATTAGAGATGCGTGCCACCATGCCCAGCTAATTTTTGTATTTTTAGTAGATGCAGGATTTCAGCATGTTGGCTAGGCTGGTCTCAAACTCCTGACCTCAAGTGATCCACCCACCTCGGCCTCCCAAAGTGCTGGGATTACAGGCATGAGCCACCGCTCCTGGCTATTTTCTTTTGAGACTGGGTCTCATTCTGTTCCCAGGCTGGAGTGCAGTGGCACAATCTCAGCTCACTGGAAACTCCACCTTCTGGGCTCAAGCAGTCCTCCCACCTCAGCCTGCTAAGTAGCTGGGATTATAGGCATGTGCCACCCTGCCTGGCTACTTTTTGTGGAGATGGGATTTTGCATGTTGCCTAGGCTGGGCTTGAATTCCTAAGCTAGAACAATCTGCTCAGGGATGTTGTATATTTCTAAAGGTATTTTTCCTTTTGTTGCAGGTGACACAACTAAAAAAAAACAAAGGTATTTATGGAATTCCACTGAGTGGTAATGGATGATGCAGTTCAAATAACTAAGGTAAGAGAAATAAAACCAGAACTGTGAGGAGGCTTTTGCCAGCCAAGTAGTGTCCTTAAATAAAGCTAACATCACATGCTTTCCTGCTTCATTTCGTTTCTAAGCTGTAAGAGTAGCTTATTTTTTTATTATTATAAACATTGTAATTATCCTTTAAGATACTTCTTAACCTGATTATGAATCAGAATCACTTGAAGAGCTTTTTTTTTTTAAAAAAAAAGACCAAAGTCAGGCTGGGCATGGTGGATCACGCCTGTAATCCCAGCACTTTGGGAGGCCGAGGCGGGCAGATCACTTGAGGTCAGGAGTTCAAGACCAGCCTGGCCAACATGGTGAAACCCCATCTCTACCAAAAATACAAAAATTAGCCAGATGTGGTGGCATGTGCCTGTAATCCCAGCTACTCGGGAGGCTGAAGCAGGAGGATCCCTTGAACCCAGGAGACAGAGGTTGCAGTGAGCTGAGATCGCACACTGCATTCCATTCTGGGCACCAAAGAATGAAACTCCTTCTCAAAAAAATAAAAATAAAAAGACCAAAGTTAATGCCCTGCCAGCATTGAATTAAAGCTTCTTGAGTAGATCACAGATGATCTCCAAGTTTTTTAAGTGGGAATGTAAACCAACTCTATAGTTTTAGAAAACTCTTTGGCAATATCTGCAAAACATACACGTATCTAATAACCCAGGAATTTCAATTCTAGGTATCCACCTTTGAGAAATGAAAAATATATGTCTACACAAAAGTGCACATACAAATGTTCACTGCAGCTTTATGTATTATAGCCAGAAAAACTGTAACCCAATCAGGTGTCCAAAAACAGGAGAATAGTTAAACAAATTGTGATATATGGTCAGGTGTGGTGGCTTACACCTGTAATCTAAGCACTTGGGAGGCTAAGGCGGGCAGATCAGTTGACCAGCCTGGTCAACATGGTGAAACCCCATCTCTACTAAAATTACAAAAATGAGCTGAGTGTGGTGGCTCACGCCTGTAATCCCAGCTACTCAGGAGGCTAAGACAGGAGAATGGCTTGAAGCCAGGAGGCAGAAGTTGCAGTGAGGTGAGATCACGCCCCTGCACTCCATCCAATCTGGGCAACAGGGCGAGACTATGTATCAACAACAACAAAAAATTGACATACACTATTGATAACATGGAATTTTATTCAGTAATAGAAAGGAACAAACTACCAGTAGACATGACAACATGGATGAATCTCGTAGATAAAAGGTTGAGTGAAAGAAACCAGATGGACAAGAAAAAGTAGATGTAGCAGAATTACCGAGTAAAACTAAACTACAGTGATAAAGGTCATATCCCTACTTCCTCTGACAGGAGGTGGGAGGTTGTGACTGGAAAGAGGTATGAGAGAGCCTCTGCAGCACCGAAAAGGTGTTTTGTTTTGTTTTTTGAGACTGAGTCTTGCTATGTCACCAGGCTGGAGTGCAGTGGTGTGATCTCAGCTCACTGCAACCTCCGCTTCCTGGGTTCAAGCAATTCTCCTGCCTCAGCTTCCCAAGTAGCTGGGATTACAGACACGCGCCACCACGCCCAGCTAATTTTTGTATTTTTAATAGAGACAGAGTTTCACCATGTTGGCCAGGATGGTCTCGATTGCCCAACCTCATGATCCGCCTGCCTCTGCCTCCCAAAGTGCTGGGATTACAGGCATGAGCCACCGCGCCCGGCCTGAAAAGGTTTTACATCTTAATGTGTTCATATACATACTTTTCTCATGGTAAAATATATATAAGATTAAATTTATCATTTTAACTACTTTTAAAGTATACAATTCATTGGCATTAAGTACATTCCTGTTGTGCAGCCATCACCACTGTCCATCTCCAAAACTTTTTCATCTCCCCAAACTGAAACTCCATATCCATTAAACACTAACTCCCCATTTCCTCCTCCCCCAGCTGCTGGCAACCATTCTACCTTCTGTCTCTATGAATTTGACTATAATAGTTACCTCGTATAAGTGGAATCATATTTGTCATTTGACATCTGGTTTGTTTCACATAGGTTTATTTCACAAAGGTATCTTGTTTATTTCACATAGGATGACCTTGTTTTCAAGTCATCCATGTTGTAGCATATATCAGAATTTACATTTTATGGTTGAATAATATTCTGTTGTATGTTTATACCACTTTATGTGTATCCATTCATTCACTGATGGACACTTGGGCTGCTTCCACCTTTTGGCTGTTGTGACTAATGGTGCTATGAACATGGGTGTAGGCTGAGTGTGGTGGCTCACGCCTGTAATCCCAGCACTTTGGGAGGCCGAGGCAGGCGGATCACTTGAGGTCAGGAGTTCAAGACCAGCTTGGACAACATGGCAAAACCCCATTTCTACCAAAAATGCAAAAATTAGCCAGGCATGGTGCTGCATGCCTGTAATTCCCAGCTACTTGGGAGGCTGAGGCAGGAGAATCGCTTGAACCTAGGAGGTAGAGGTTGCAGTGAGCCCAGATGGTGCTACTGCACTCCAGCCTGGGTGACAGAGTGAGGCTGTCTCAATTGAAAAAACAAAAACAAAAACAAAAAAAAACACATGGATGTACAAACATCTGTTCGAGTCCCTGCTTTTAGTTCTTTTGAGTATATTCTTAGAAGTAAAATTACTGGATCATATGGTAACTCCATGTTTCATTTTTTGAGGAATCACCATGCTGTTTTTCACAGTACTGCATCATTTTATATTCCCACCAGCAATGCACAAGGGCTTCAATTTCTTTACATTCTGCTTTTTGGTGACCTCCATAATTCTAAATTATATGTATATGCTGTTTCTTCTTAATTCTTTTATTAATAAAAAAGACAACATAATTCTTTGCCTCTCCAGTGTGAAAAAATGGGAATTTACCTTACACTATCCCCCCATTTAATATTTGTATTATTTCCTGTTCTGCTGCTGTTTATTAGTTTCCTCAGACTTCTGTAACAAAACTCCATGAACTGGGTGGCTTAAACAATAGAAATTTATTGTCTCAGAGTTTTGGAGGCTAGAAGTCTTGCGGGCTGTGCGGGAGAATCTGTTCTATGATTTTCTTCTAGCTTCTGGTAGCCTCAGGCATCCCTTACATTGTAGATGGCATTCTCTCTGTATCTTCAGATTGTCTTCCCTCTATGCATATCTGTCTCTTGTGTCCAAATTTCCTTTTTCAAAATAAGTGCGCTAGTCATTGGATTAGGGACCACCCTAATGAGCTCATCTCAACTTGATCATATGCAAAAATCCTCTTTCTAAATAAGTTCACATTCACAGGAACTGAGTAGGGGGTTACAATTTTAACATCTTTTAGGGGACACAATTCAGTCTGGGTGACAGAACAAATCTCTGTCTCAAAAACAAAACAAAACAAACCCATAAAGTGATTACATTTCTAACTTTCGGAAGTACTCTTCAACCTCCTTTTTTTAGGTTAATTTTCAGCACTCTTTCCTTCTTTCTTCCTTTCCTTTTTCCTTTTCCTTTTTTTTTTTTTTTTTTTTTTTTACTTTTTATTTTTTTGAGACAGAGTCTTGGTCTGTCGCTCAGGCTGGAGTACAGTGGTGTGATCTTGGCTCACTGCAACCTCTGCCTCCTAGGCTGAAGTGATTTTCCTGCCTCAGCCTCCCAAGTAGCTGGGATTACAGGCACCCGCCACCACGCCCGGCTAATTTTTGTATTTTTAGTAGAGCCAGGTTTTCACCTTGTTGGCCAAGCTGGTCTCAAACTTCTGGCCTCAAGTGATCCGCCCGCCTCGGCCTCCCAAAGTGCTGGGATTACAGGCATATGCCACCACACCTGGCTAATTTTTGTATTTTTAGTAGAGACAGGGTTTCACCTGTTGGATCTCCTGACCTCATGATCGCCCTCCTCAGCCTCCCAAAGTGCTGGGATTACAGTCGTGAGTGCCGCGCCCACTTAATATTTATGTTATTATAGCTAAGTAAATATTGTTCACTGTCAGGCCAGGCAGCATTTTCTGGGTTTTTATTTCTTTCTCTGTAGGTTCAATGTCATAGACCCTGGGCTATTCAAATGAGAAAATGAAGAAAAAGTGAATTCTCTCTCTGAAACTATCAGTTGCTTCCAATCATGTCTTTATATTTTATATTTGAACCGTAACTTTCTCATAAAATTTTCTCCCTGGAGTTTCTAATTTTCTTGTCTATTTGCCTGTTATTATAGTTTCACTTTTCACCAAGATCTCAATCATACACTCCAGCCTGTCAAGGCTAGTTCAAACCATACACTGTGGCCCAAATTTAGGCTAGTCGTACACTCCAATCCGAGACCAGTGGGCACTGTTTTTTAGGCTGTCTACACAGTCATATTGGTATTTTCCTTACTGGTTTTTCTTTGACGGGGGTGCAGGGGAGGTTGGGTCCACTGATCTTGGATATCAGTCTTTCTTTGTATTTGTTTTTTAAATCTTACTAGAGGCTAGGGGGCATGGTGGCTCATGCCTGTAACCCCAGCACTTTGGGAGGCTGAGGCAGGTGGATCACTTGAGGCCAGGAGTTCAAGACCAGCCTGGCCAACACGGCAAAACCCTGTCTCTACTAAAAATACAAAAATTAGCCAGGCGTGGTGGTGGGTGCCTGTAATCCTAGCTAGTCGGGAGGCTGAGGCAGGAGAATTGCTTGAACCCGGGTGGTGGAGGTTGCAGTGAGCCAAGATCATACCATTGCACTGCAGCCTAGGCGACAGAGTGAGACTCCATCTCAGTCAATCAATCAGTCAATCAATCTATCTTACCAGAGTTCATTCTCAAGTCACTTACTGAGAGAAAAGGTACCTGGCAGATAAATTTTGACTCTTTCTGGTATCCGTTTTTTGTTGTTGTTGTTGTTGTTGTTTGTTTGTTTTGGAGACGGAGTCTCGCTCTGTTGCCCAGGCTGGAGTGCAGTGGCGCGATCTTGGCTCACTGCAAGCTTCGCCTCCCAGGTTCATGCCATTCTCCTGCCTCAGCCTCCTAAGTAGCTGGGACTATAGGCGCCTGTCACCACGCCTGGCTAATTTTTTGTATTTTTAGTAGAGATGGAGTTTCACTGTGTTAGCTGATCTGCCCTCCTTGGCCTCCCAAAGTGCTGGGATTACAGGCGTGAGCCACCGTACCCAGCCTCTGGTGTCTGTTTTTAAGACCCTCATGTTGGAGTGATGGTTTGGTTGACTATAGAATTCTAGGTTGCCTATTATTTTTCCTCAAAACTTTGAAGTCATTGCTCCATTTCTTCTGACATCCCTTGTTGTTCATGAGAAATAGAAAGTTTCATATAGGAAATTAATTTTTCTTCTTTTCTGGAAGCTTTTATGTTCTATATAGTCTGGAATTCCATAGAGGTGTACTTGGTGGGCCCCTTAATAGATCTGCAGACTCATAGCTCTCCATTTTTTGGTTCTTTTCTGTCAGCAGCTTTCTGATATTGAGCTTCCTGGGTTGTTCATATAATGTTCTTATCTATTCTGTCCTTTTTAAAAACTCTTTGCTTTTGGTTGTTTTCCTGGAGATTGTCATAACTTTATCTCCTAATCTTTTTTTCTCTCTTTTTTTTTTTTTTTTTGAGACAGGGTCTCACCCTGTGGCCCAGACTGGAGTTCAGTGGTGCCATCACAGCTCACTGCAGCCTCGAGCTCCCAGGTTCAAGCAATCCTCCCACCTCAGCTTTCCAAGTAGCTGGAACTATAGGCATGCGCTACTACACCCAGCTAATTTTTTTTATTTTTAGTAGTGACAGGGTCTCACTGTGTTGCCCTGGCTGGTCTCAAACTCCTGAGCTCAAGTGATCCTTCTGCCTCTGGGGACTACAGGAGTATGCCACCACACCTGGCTAATTTTTGTATTTTTTAGTAGAGACAGGGTTTCACCATGTTGCCAGGCTGGTCTTGAACTCCTAGGCTCAAGCGATCCACCTGCCTCAGCCTCCCAAAGTGCTGGGATTACAGGTGTGAGCCACCACACCTGGCCTGCTGTTTTTTCTTTTACTGTTTCTTAAACTAGTCTTCTCCCCGCTTTCTTTTCCTGTATGAACGTTAATAGTTGACCACAGCATTGGCCCTGTAATACTCTTTTGTTCTTTGTATTTCTTCAGTTTTATTTAGCCTCTGTTGTGTGTTCACACATTCCTTTTTATTTGCTTGATGTGTGTCCCATCCCTTCTTTTGAACACTGTGTGGTCATTAATGAGAGTGTGGTAGGATTTTATGTACTGATATTTAAGAAAATGACCATAAAATGTTCTTGGAGATGGTCTTTAAAGACCGGGCATGGTAGCTCATGTTTGTAATCTTAGTACTTTGGGTGGCTGAGGCAGGAGGATTGCTTGAGCTCAGGAGTTTGAGACCAGCCTGGGAAACATGGGGAGATCCCATCTCTACAAAAAATGCACAAATTACCCAGGCGTGGTAGTACATGCCCGTGGTCCCAGCTATTCCAGAGCCTGAAGTGGGAGGATTGCTTGAGCCCAGGAGCTCGAGGCTGCAGTAAGCCATGTTTGCACCACTGCACTCCAGCCTGAGTAACAGAACAAGACCCTGTCTCAAAGAAAGGAAAAAAAAATTTTAAGTAGTTGATTAAAAGAGGTCTTTAGGGTGGGCTCTAATTTGATGTGACTGGTGTCCTTGTAAGAAAAGGAAATTTGTACACGCAGACATCAGAAACAAATACACAGAGGAATGACCAGGTGAGGATACAGTAAGATGGTGGCCATCTGCAGGCCAAGGAGAGAGGTCTCATAGGAAACCAAACTTGCTGACACTTTCATCTTGGACTTCTAGCCTGTACAGCTGTGAGAAAATAAATTTCTGTTGTTGAACCCACCGAGTCTGTGATACTTTTATGGCAGCCCTACCAAATGAATATAGACATTTAAGAAGGCTTGGTGCATTGCAGCATTTGGTAAATTATTATGCATTTCGTTGTATTGTGCATGTAGTGCCATTACTGAGAATAGCAGGATGGATGGGAAGCATCGAGACAAAGTAAAATACGAGCTGGCCACTAACATATGGTATGATTTTGTGGTAGGTGAAAAAAGGATTCCAGAAGTAGAGTGCTTATGAAAGAAAAGCTCAGTAGTGTAAGAATTTTACACCAGTTTGACTTTAACAGAGAGTGAGTTCAACAGTGAAAGATGAGGTTGCAAATGTAGTTTGGGGACCCATATTAATTTCCTGGTGCTGCCCAAACAAAGTACCATAAACTCGGTGGCTAAAGACAGCAGAAATATATTGTCTGGCAGTTCTGGAGGCCCAAAGTCAAGGTGTTGGCAGTGTTGGTTCCTTCTTGGGGGGAATCTGTCCCATGCATCTCTCCTTAGCTTCCAAGAGCCCCCTGTGTTATTTGGATTGTAAATGATCACTCAAATCCTCTTTCTTCAATTGGCATTTTCCCTGTCTGTTTTCACATGATTATCTTCTTATAAGGACACCAGTCATATTGGATTAGGGGCCCACAGTACTCCAGAATGACCTCATCTTTATTTAACTAATTACATCTTCAACGACCCTATTTCCAAATAAGGTCACATCCTATGGTACTGGGGATTAGGACTTCATATCTTTTTTGGGGAGGCATAGTTCAACCCATAACAGGGGCCAAACTGTGAAGCATTTCCTATATATCAATCCAGATATTTTCAAATCTATTGTTTATTCAGTGGGAAACCATTGAAAACTTTGAGCAGGATGAATCTAACACTTTAGGAAGACTCCTTGGGGATGGGGTTGGAGAGATGTTAGCTGCACTGGAAGTCAGTAGACCAGAGTCTGGACCACTGGGAGTCTGGACCAGATCAATGTTATGGAAAACCAGGATTCTGGGGCTCCCACTCAAGATATCCCAAACCCAAATCTTCAGACTGGAGACCCAGGACTGTTTTTTAAAAGCTCCCTCTCTCTCCCTGTGAGTCAGATGATTTAGCCTAGCTTGGATGTAACACTGGGTGTGAGGTGATAGAGGCATGAAATGGGTTGGTGGTTATGCAAGTAGAAAGACCAGAGAGAACCTGGGAAAAGAGACATTTCGAAAAAGTAGTATGTAAACTGGCACCGGAGAGTCTGAGACAGTGGTGGAATCCTTAACAGAAATAAAGATGTCTAGAGAATAAATTGGGTTTAAAGGGAAGGTAATTAATTTGGTTTACAGTGTAAGGTGATAGACAGTCAGCAGGCACTTGGAGAATGGTGATGTATGTTCAGAAGTGAGATAATGGAGGTGATAATCAAAACCCTTTGTTTTGATTTGAGCCTTTGTGTGGGAGAAAGGATATGGCGAGAAGAACAGAAGATCAGGAAGCCAATACTGTAGACCCTCATTCCCTAGCCCCTGAAACAAATGGATTTGACTTCTCTGTCATGACACCTGGAACAAATGTGGCATTGCTTACTTACTTCCTTTGCCATGAACTCAGTGAAGGCAGGGACGGGTCTTGGCTTGTGTGTGTGTGTGTGTGTGTGTGTGTGTAAGAGACTGGGTCTCATTCTGTTACCCAGGCATGAGTGCCATGGCATAATCATAGCTCACTGCAGCCTCAAACGAACCTCCTCCCTCAGGCCTCCTGAGTTGCTGGGACTACAGGCATGCACCAATGGCCCTGGCTTTTTAAAGGCCATCATCTAGCACAGTGCCTGGCTTTTCAATGGAAGTCTGTTGAATGACTGACTGACTGACCGACTTGGAAAATGAACACATCAACTTGAGAATAAGAACTTTAACTTTTTTCTTCCTTGCATCCCCTAACATTTAATCCAATGCCTGGTCCTTAATAGGACCCAAATAAAATTTTGATGTGTGAATGGTAGAAGAAAAGCTAAAATTGAGTAGTCATTGTGTCAAAGAGAACCAGGAAACAGAGAAGCTTTTGAGAATAAGTTGACCATAACATGTCAAATGCAAGTCAAGGAGAATGAAAACTGAGGGCAGGAATTAGATTTAATCAGGAGGTTATTTGTAGATTTGAGAACGAAGGATTTAAGAACATAATGAGGTTGTTAAGGGAGAATGAAGGAATTAAGATCATAATGAGGTTGTTAAGTAGAGGTGGAAAGTGAGGAAATGAAAGCCAAGTACATCTTATACAAGTTTAGTAGTAATGAGGAAAAGAGAAGCTCATAGAGTTAAAGCTCTAAAAATCTGTTTAGAACATCCGTGTCTATTTGTAAACAAAGGGGTATGAGGGTTAGGGATGGAAAAATGGAAAGTACCAGAAGGAAATGCATAATTTTAGGGGAAAGATCTCAAATGGGATCAAGAACATGGGCAGTAGCCTTAAAAAGGATGAGGGAATCTCTTCCTCTAGTCTAAAAAGGGAGAATAGAGGCTCTATAGAGGAGAGAGAGGTCATGTCCTCTTGTCAGCCATCTGCTCAGAGGGAGCTTGGGCTGCTGTGCTAGAAACTGACATAGGAAACTGACAAAGGAAGGATATGTTTTCTGCACAGCACTGAGGAGTGTGATACTCCTAAGCAGTAGTTGGCAGCCTGAGATAGGAATGGTGGAACCAGATGGTAAGTATAATCCAGGAATCAGGATGGCACTTTCTGTAGATTAGGGAGTTGTAGGCTGGGGGTGTACTTTTATTCACTCTTCTCTGATTCAGAGGTTTTATAATTTTCACTAACATCATTAAAAACAATATTGGATGCCTACTACCTGTTGGTTTTTATTTTAATCTTGGGAAAAAAAAGTAAAAGCTACTATCCTGAGGTTTCTGGTTTTATTGGGGAGATAGATCATATATGTAAAAAGCAAGTTTAGCAAATGGCACATGGCATTATAGACTAAGTCCCAAATCAGTAGATTACATAAATGTCAGAGAGATTACAATTATAGCAGTACACTTTGAGGTTCTTTTCCCCTTAGCTTATGAACATTTAAATTTTGTCACTTTTATAAATACATGCCTATTTGAGAGGTAAGAAAAGTACCATGTTGCTTTAATTTGCTTTTCTTTGTTAGCAAAGATGAATTTTTTCAGTTGTTTATCATTATTTTACTTTTTATGAATTGCCTATTCATAGCTTTTATCCATCTTTCCATGGTTGTGTTTGTACTTACTAATTTGTAAATACCTCATTTAATAAGGTTATTTAACCTTTTGCCTGTAACATTTTGCAAATGTTTTTTCTAGCTTGTTTTTTGGGGTTCTTTCTTTTGGTTGGTTGGTTGGTTGGTTGGTTGGTTGGGTTTTTTTTTTGAGACAGATCATCACTCTGTTACCCAGGCTGGAATGCAGTGGTGCCATCTCTGCTCACTGCAACCTCCACCTTCTGGGGTCAAATGATTCTTGTGTCTCAGCCTCCCAAGTAGCTGGGATTACAGGCGCACGCCACCACGCCCAGCTAATTTTTATAATTTTTGTAGAGATGGGGTTTCACGATGTTGGCTAGGGTGGTCTCAAAACTCCTGACCTCAAGTGATTTGCCTCCCTCAGCCTCCCAAAGTGCTGGGATTACAGATGCAGCCACCATGGCCAGCCTTTTCTAGTTTTTTTAATTTAAACATTTTCTTTCAGATTTCTTATTTTGATTTATTTTCAGTTTATGATGTTTTGTTGACACATAAGAGTTTAAATATCTTATGTATTAGAAACTATTAAATATTTCTTTTTAATATTTAGGAAGGCTACCTCAGCCTGAGAACAGACAAATATTTTCAAATGTTTTCTTCAAATTGTTTTATAGTTTATTGGTACTTATTTACATTCCATTGTATTATTGTTATTTATATACTTAAAACTTTAAACCATTTTGGAATATTGCATGAAATAGAGACCTAATTTTTGCTGAGTAGTTCAGCAGTTTCTAGTACTGTTTACTAAATAATCTATGAAAATTTTCTGCGGATTCCTAAATGATTTTGTCCAGGCTGGAGTACAGTGGCACAATCATGGCTCACTGCGGCATCTACCTCCCCAGGCTCAGGTGATTGTCCCACCTCAGCCTCTCAAGTAGCTGGGACTACAGAAGTGCCACTACACCCAGCTAATTTTTGCATTTTTTTGTAGAGACTATATTTCACCATGTTGCTGAGCCTGGTCTTGAACTCCTGGGCTCAAGCGACCTGCCCACTTCGGCCTCCCAAAGTACTAGGATTACAAGGCATGAGCCACCGGGTATTTTTTATCATATTCCCAATACTTATGTATACAGACTTCCTTGTTTATAAATCTGTATCTGTACCATTGCCACATATTATTGTATTAATATAATCTCATAGTGCAAATACTTGTTCATTATTTGTTTTAAATAATGCCTAGACTACACTCACCTATTTGTATATGTGAACTTTTTTTAAAACATTTTATTTTTTAATAATTTAAGACTCAGAAAGCTGCAGTAGTACAGGTTCCCAGGTATGCTTCACCCAAGGGCTTTCAATTAGAACCTTTTTTTTTTTTTTTTTTTTTGAGATGGAGTCTCGCTCTGTCACCAGGCTGGAGTGCAGTGGCGCCATCTCAGCACACTGCAACCTCTGACTCCCTGATTCGAGCAATTCTCCTGTCTCAGCCTCCCGAGTAGCTGGAATTACAGGCATACGCCACCACACCCAGCTAATTTTTGTATTTTTAGTCAAGACGGTGTTTCGCCATGTTGGTCAGGCTGATCTCAAACTCCTGACCTCAGGTGATCTGCTTGCCTTAGCCTCCCAAAGTGCTGGGATTAGAGTGGTGAGCCACTGTGCCCGGCCCCTGAAATCACCTTTTCTGTAATGCTACTTTGTTCAATAAAAATAACATATTAATATCCTTTTTAAAAATACATACAATATATTGTTATTAACTGTAGTCACCATGATGTACAATAGATCTCTTGAACTTATTCCTCCTAACTGAATTTTGTGTCCTTTGTTCAGTATTTCCCCAATTCCCCTACCCACCAACCTCTAGTAACCACCATTTTACTCTCTATTTCTATGAATTCAACTTTTTACATTCCACGTGTAAGTGAGATCATGTGATATTTGTCTTTCTATGTCTGGCTTATTTCGTTTAACATAATGTCCTCCAGGTTTATCCATGTTATCACAAATGACAGAATTTATTCTTTTTTTAAGGCTGAATAGTGTTCCATTGTGTATGTATGCCACATTTTCTTTCACCATTCATCCATCAATGAATGAAAACACTTAGGTTGATTTCATATCTTAGCTATTGTGAATAATGCTGCAATGAACATAGTAGTACAGATATCTCTTCAACATACCCATATTAGTTATATCCTTTAGATATATATCCAATAGGGGGAATTACTGAATCATATAGTAGTTCTATTTAAATTTTTTTTTGTTTTTTAATTTTGTTTGTTTAGAGACAGGGTCTCGCTGTGTCTCCAAGGCTGTAGCACAGTTCTGCAATCATAACTCACTGTAAGCTCAAGTGATCTACTTCAGCTTCGCTACTACAGGCACATGCCACTATAGTCAGCTAATTTTTAAAAATTGTTTGTAGAGTCCAGGTGTGGTGGCTCACGCCTGTAATCCCAGCAATTTGGGAGGCCTAGGCGGGTGGATCACCTGAAGTCAGGAGTTTGACACTAGCCTGACTGCCATGGTAAAACCCCATCTCTACTAAAAATACAAAAAAATTAGCCGGGCGTGGCTGTGCATGCCTATGATCCCAGCTACTTGGGAGGCTGAGAGGCAGGAGAATCACTTGAACCCGGGAGGCAGAGGTTGCAGTAAGCCAAGATCTCGCCATTGCACTCCAGCCTGGGCGACAAGAGTGAAAATCCAACTCAAAAAAAAAAAAAATCGTTTGTAGAGACAGGGTCTCACAATATTGACCAGTCTGGTCTCAAACTCCTGGCTTCAGGCAGTCTTCCTGTCTTGGCCTCCCAAAGTGCTGACATTATAGCCATGAGCCCCTGCACCCAGCCTTATTTTTAATTTTTTGAGGAACCTCCATACATGTTTTCCATAATGGCTGTACTTATTTACCTTCTCACCTTATTGTATAATGGTGCATATCTCAGAATGTGTCCTTACTGAGTGACACATAACTATATTTGAAGTAAGTTTCTTATAGATAGCATATAGTTGGGTCTTTTCTTTTCTTTTTTTAATAGAGACAGGGTCTTGCTATGTTGCCCAGGCTGGTTTTGAACTCCTGGGCTCAAGCAGTATGCCTGCCTGGGCCTCCCAAAGTGTTGGTATTATAGGCATGAGCCACCATGCCTGGCCTAGGTCTTTTTTTTTTGAGACAGGGTCTCACTTTTGTCACCCAAGCTGGAGTGCCGTGGTGCAATCATGGCTCACTGCAGCCTCAACCTCCTAGGCTCAATCAGCCCTCCACCTCAGCCTCCTGAGTAGCTGGGATTACAGATGCATGCCATCATGCCTGGCTAATTTTTGTTTTGTTTGGGGTTTTTTTGGTAGAGACAGGGTTTTGCCATGTTGCCCAGGCTGGTCTCGAAGTCTTGGGCTGAAGTGATCCACCTACCTTGGTCTCCCAAAGTGCTGGGATTACAAGCGTAAACCATTACACGTGGTCTAGTTGGGTTCTTTTTTAAAAGAATCAGTTCTACTAATTTCTTTTCGTTGGTATGTATAAACCATTTATATTTAATATAATTATTGATACTTTGGATTTAAATTTGCCATTTTTGTTTCATTCATTATTTTTGTTCTTCTGTTTCCCCTTTCCTGTTTTACAGTGGGTTCCTTGAACATTTTTTAATATTTCATTTTGAGTGTATCTCTTTATAAAGTTTTTTGTGTGATTGCTCTAGGAATATATATGTAGATAACTTATTACAGTCTATTAATATCAACTTTTTACCACCTTAAGTAGAATGTAGTTAGTTTTAGTAGAAGGAATCTTTTAGTTCCTTCTACCTTTCTTCTTCTTTTTTTTTTTTTTTGAGACGGAGTCTTGCTCTGTCATCAGGTTGGAGTGCAGTGGCGTGATCTCAGCTCATTGCAATCTCCACCTCCCGGGTTCAAGCCATTCTCCTGCCTCAGCCCCTCCGAGTAGCTGGGATTACAGGTGCATGCCACCACACCCAGCTAATTTTTGTATTTTTAGTAGAGATGAGGTTTCACCATGTTGGCCAGGATGGTCTCGATTTCCTGACCTCGTGATCTGCCGGCCTCAGCCTCCCAAAGTGCTGGGATTACAGGCATGAGCCATTGTGCCTGGCACACCTTCCTTCTTTATGGTACAGTTGTCTTAAATATTACCTCTACATACAAGGAGAACCACTTCAGGGACTGCTATAATTTTTACTTTCAACCATCAAACATAATCTTTAAAACTCAAGAGAAGAATTGCTTAATTAGTGTATGTATGTGTGTCTGTATATGAATAAACATATATATATGCATAACATATATATGGATATATGCATATATAGACACACACACACCCTTTCCATTGCTTTTTCTTTACTTCTATTTGAGGTTTTCTTCTGTTATCATTTACTTCCTTTCTGATAGAGTTTCTTTAGCCATTCTTTTCAAAGCTGATCTGTTGGTGACACATTTTTAGTTTTGTTCATCTGCCAGTATTTGTATTTCATTTTTATTTCTGAAGGATATTTTCACTGTCTATAGAATTTTAGCTTGATAGTTATTTTCTTTCAGCATTTGAAAAATATTGTATCCATCCTTGTGGTTTCCATGGTTCCTGATGAAAAATCTGTTGTCTTTCAAATTGTTATTCTCCTATGAGTGATATGTTGTTTCTCTCTAATTGATTTCAGGACTTTTCTTTAGTTTTTAGAAGTTTGATTCTGTAAGTTTATATCTAAATCTGAGGCTGAGTGTGGTGGCTCATGCCCATAATCCCAACACTTTGAGAGGCCAAGGTAAGAGGATTTCGTGAGTCCAGGAGTTTGAGACCAGCCTGGACAACATAGTGAGACCCCACCTCTAAAACAGATAGATAGATAGTTGATTTTGTTTTTGTTTTTTCCTTTTTTTGAGACGGAGTCTTGCTGTGTCACCCAGGCTGGAGGGCAGTGGCTCGATCTTGGTTCACTACAACCTCCGCCTCCTGGGTTCAAGCAATTCTCCTGCGTCAGCCACCCAAGTAGCTGGGATTACAGGCACCCGCCACCACACCCAACTCATTTTTTGTATTTTTAGTACAGATGGGGTTTCACCATGTTGGCCAAGCTGGTCTCGAACTCCTGACCTCAGGTGATCCCCCTGCCTCAGCCTCCCAAAATGCTGGGATTACAGATGCGAGCCACCGTACCCAGTAGACAGTTTTTAGCCATTATTTCTTAAATTTTTTTTTTTCATCTCTCCATTCATTCTCTTACTCTTGGGACCCTGATAGCATGAATGTTAGATCTTTGTTATTATCCCACAGGACTTTGAAACTGTGTTCATTTCTTTTCAATCTACTTTCTCTCTTGTACAGACTGGATGATTTCCATTCATTTAAGTTTACTAATTGTTTCCTTTATCATTTTTCTTTTGCTGTTGAGCCCATCCAGTGGGTCTTTTTAATTTCAGAAATTTTATTTTTAAAAATTCCATTTGGTACTCCTTATGTCTTCTATATGCTGAGTGTTTATAATGTCTTGTTTGAGCAGTTTCATGAGCGCTGTTTTAAATTCTTTTCAAATAATTCCAAAATCTATATTATCTTGGTATTGTCATCTGTTGATTGCCTTTTTTCATTCAAGTTGAGATTTTCATGTTCCTGGTATAATGAGTAATGTTGGATTGCATCCTAGCACTTGGAATATTGTGCTATGAGATTCTGGTTCCTGTTTAAATTTTTATATTTAACAGTCAACCTGTTTAGGTTTAGAACACATACCCTGTCCCACTTTTGTCGACTGTGGTTCAGTTTTCAGTCTTGTTTTACTCTTATGGTCTGTGCTACCGAAAGGCCAGTCTGAAATTTAGGTGTTATTCCGGAGCAGTGTTCAGTTCTTATGCCTTTTGCTGTGTTGTTTCTGGTCATTTTTACACATGGGTTGCTCAGAGGCACTTTTAGGATTTCATACACAGATTCAGAGAATTCATTTCTCTAGCTCTCTCCTCACCATAATCCTTTCCCAATTCTGTAGTTTTGCTGGGATTAGGACTCCATCTGGTTATTCCAGGGTAGAGAAAGATGAGTTCACCCACATTCTCTGCAGCTGTAACATGGAGAAGAGGGGAAAGGCGTGCCACCTCATTATGGCAGAGTTGTGTTGGAAGGCAGAATGCTGTTCACAATTTCTGGGCCACAGTGTCTGGTGAGGAAAAGGAGGGGTACCTCCTCCCCTTTTTTAGTTTGCCTGGTCAAAATGTTTTTGTCTGCTGAGCTGCCCCTTTCCCAGTTCTTTACCTAGAGAGGGCAGGCTTTTCTTGGCACTTTCTTGTCTGTGCTTACTGGATCTTTCAGATTGTGGCTTCAGAGCTTGGGCTAGGACATATTAGAAGTTAAACCAAACCAAACAAAAAAGTAGGGAGCTTCCTGTTGGGTCAGTCCTCATGTCCCCTGGTCCCTAGCCAATCTACCTTCTTTTTTCTACTTTTCAGAATTTTTCTGTCACTTGTGTCATGAATTTCATCTAGAATGTTCGGTTATAATCGGTGGGAAGGGCTGGGCGCGGTGGCTGACGCCTACAATCCCAGCACTTTGGGAGGCCAAGGCGAGCGGATCACCTGAGGTGAGGAGTTCGAGACCAGCCTGGCCAACATGGTGAAACCCCGTCTCTACTAAAAATACAAAAAAAATTAGCCGGGCATGGTGGGGGACGCCTGTAATCCCAGCTACTTGGGAGGCTCAGATAGGAGAATCGTTTGAACCCAGGAGGTGGAGGTTGCAGTGAGCTGAGATCGCGCCACTGCGCTCCAGCCTGGGCAAGAAGAGCAAAACTCCATCTCAAACAAAAACAAAAACAAAAACAAATCAGTGGGAGGAATAGGGTGGAATATGCTTACTCCATCTTTTCCTGAACTGTAAATCCCTGCTGCAATTTTAAATTATGAACTTTAGTTCCAGTAGTTTTTTTTAACCTATGTACGTAGTCTTTCAAATACAAATAACAGTTAAGGGGTTTTCCCCCAATAATTATATCTTGTTTTCTTTTCTTTTCTTTTTTTTTTTTTTAAAGAGACCGGGTCTCGCTGTATCGCCTAGGCTGGACTTGAACTCCTGTGCTCAGGCAATCCTCCTCCCTCAGCCTTCCAAGTATCTGGGACTACAGGCATATACCCCCATACCTAGCTGTTTTCTTATCCCATTATCTACTTTTAGAACAAGGATTGGCAAACTATAATCTGTTTCCCATATCCAGCTCACTGCTTATTTTGGTATGGCAGACAAGCTCAGAATAGGTTTTCCTTTTTTTTGGAGACAGGTCTCACTTTGTCACTGAGGCTGGAGTGCATTGGTGTAAACACAGCTCACTTCAGCCTCGACCTCCCAGGCTCATGGGATCCTCCTGTCTCAGAGAGAAAAAGAGAGAGAGAAAAAAAGAAATTATATGAAATTCAAATTTCAGCGTTTTATTAGAATATGCCATGTTCATTTGTTTATATATTGTCTGTGGCTGCCTTCATGGTACGACAGCAGAGTTGAGTAGTTGAAGCAGAGACTTAATTGCCAGCCCTTTTTCCAGATGATTTGTAAATCCTAGAAGTGAAACCATTGTCCCTTTCTTGTCCTGCTTTAGTGATACTGATATTTCAAGATACATAATTTTCTTGGGTGAAAGTTTCTTTTGTTTCTGGTTTCTAGGTATTTGTGAGATATTTCTCTCACAAAACGTGTTCTTTTCTTCTGGTTTTTTTTTGGGGGTTTTTTTTGTTTCTTTGGTTTTTTGAGACAGTCTCGCTCTGTCACCCAGGCTGGAGTTCAGTGGCGCGATCTCAACTCACTGCAACCTCTGCCTCCTGGGTTCAAGCAGTTCTCCTGCCTCGGCCTCCCTAGTAGCTGGGATTACAGGTGCCTGCAATCACGCCAGGCTAATTTTTGTATTTTTAGTAGAGATGGGGTTTCACCATGTTGGCCAGGCTGGTCTTGAACTCCTGACCTCAGGTGATCTGCCCTCCTTGGCCTCCCAAAGTGCTGGGATTACAGGCATGAGCCACTACGCCTTGTCTCTTTTCCTCTGTTATCTGACTTACTGGATGGCATCTGTTAGGTAAATCAGAAACCAAAGAGGAGTAGCATTCAGCACTCCCTGTCACCCCAAGAGCAAATCTATTATCACACCCTGTGCAGTTTACTTCCTGAATATCTCCTTCCTTGTAACACTTTTGTGTCTCCACCAGTAACTTCTAACTGGACTGTCCACATCCAGTGCTATATTCTCTACACCCAGCTAAATGAAGTGTTCATTCCAAAATGCAGGGCAGGGAGGTCACTGTCATGCTTCTGTTCTTCAAAGGCTTCTTAATGCTTATGGGACAAAGAAAAATCACCCTTGTGTGGCCCTACCCTGTATACATCTCCAGCTTCCTGGCACCTGCTCCCCCTTACTCTTTATACTTCAGACACGGTGGCTTCTTTCAGACCCTGCTCCTGCCCTTTCTGAGGTTACGGACTGGCATGGAGTTCCCTGCCCTCCTTAATGCCTCCCTGATTCCTGTTCATCTTCTACTTGTCAGCTCAGGAATCAGTGCCTTAGGGAGGCCTTGGCTGAGCTCCCTGACTAGGTCAAATTTTCTTCTTCTATAGGCTCTTAGAGTCCTATAATTCTCTTTTCCATCACTTCTCCTATTTGTCTGTGAGGTGATTTGTTTAATGTCAGTTTTCTGCTACTAGACTGTAAGCTTCATGAAGATAGGGATTCTGTTAGAATTTGTTCACTATTTCTAGTAGAAGGAACAGGGCCTAGCACATAGTAAATACTGAGTAAGCGGGTTATTTCCCCAATGATTGCCTTTTTAAAGAAAACCAGTTCTGTAAACCAGCATTCATCAGGCTTATCATATGGCTTTTTATATTTTGAATTATTTTTGTGAGGATTTTTATTAATATGTTTTCCAATAATGGACCATGGTTAAATTTTTGAAGTAAGCCTTACTTGATCAGGTTGTGGTATAATTATAACATATGCTGCTTTTTCTTTGCTAGGATTTTAAGATTTTGCAGTTAAAGTTATTTTCTTTTTTGTGTGCTTTGTCAGATTTTGACATCAGTGTTATACTAGTATTTTCATGGCTTATTTTATTCCATTCTTTTATTTTCAACTTTTCTATATCCTTAAGCTTAAAAATGTCTCTTTTAAACAGCATATAATTGAGGGCTTTTATTATTAGGCTTTATAATTTTTGTATTTTAATTGGAACATTTAGTTTGTTTAATATAGTTAATATATTCTTTGCTTTCTATTTTCCTCAAAGATTTGAATAGAACAAAAGGCTGACCTCCCCCAAGCAAGAGGGAATTCTCTGGCAGTCTGCCTTTGCACTTGAAATGCAACTCCTCCCTGAATCTCCAGCCTGCCAGCCTCTTCTATTATGAGTCAATTCCTTAAAATAATTCTATATGATATATATTTAATATAATTAATATATAATGTGGCTACTACCTAGTAGAATTAATGTATACTTAATATGACATATAATATAATTACAGTAGTACCTTCTTATCTGGGGGAAGCATTATATTCCAAGACCCCCAGTGGATGCCTAAAACCACAGATATATATTTTCCTATACATACATAGCTGTGATAAAGTTTAATTTATAAATTAGGCACAGTAAAAAATTAACAATAACTAATAATAAAATACAATACTTATAATAATATGCCAGCATGTTCCTTTTTCTCTTTTTTCTTGCTTTTTGGATTGATAGACTTTTTTACTATCCTAGCTTTTTTCCCTCTTGCCAAGTTATAGACCCTGTTCTTTTAGTGGTTACCCTACAGATTACAACACATAGCCTGCATGTATAGGAATGAAATACAGTTTACGTAGGGTTCAGTACCATCTGTGGTTTCAGGCATCTACTGGGAGTCTTGGAACATATCCCCCCACCCCCCCCCCAGATAAGGGGGTAGTACTGAAATTATATTAAATATATGCTTATTATATTAAATATTAGTCATATATTACATACATATTATATAGATTTATTTTAAGGGATTGATTCACAGTGGGGGAGGCTAGCAGGCTGGAGACCCAGGAAGGAACTGCACTTCAAGTTCAAGGGTAGTCTGCTGGAGAATTCCCTCTTGCGTGGGGAAGGTCAGCCTTTTGTGCTATTCAGACCTTCAGTTGTATGGATGAAGCCCACCTACATTATGGAGGGCAACCTTCTGTACTCAAGAGTCCATTGATTTAAATGTAAATCTCATCCAAAAAAACCCCTCACAGAAATATCCAGAATAACCTTTAACCAAATATCTGGACACTGTGGTGTGGCCCAACCAAATTAACAATCACAAGTCTACTCTTTATCAACTTGGCACCCATACACATCTCCTTAAACCATTATTAATCTCCAAATAAAGACAGTAACAAAGTCATACTTCTGCTTAGCATGAAAGAACTATCTTGCATGTAGCCGAAAACACACTATTCCTTTCTCTAAAAGAGGATGCAGATTATTTGGTTGATGTTTACTCTTCTTGATATCCTGCAACTTAAATTCTAAAGTTTAAGAAAAAGTTAATACTTAAGTATTATGATCAGCTGTTAATCTAATTTTTTTTGACGAAAATATTTTCGTATCCATTTTCTATTGCTGCCTAGCAAAACATCCCCAAATTTAATATTTTAAAGCAACAACCATCAAAAATTGGCTCACAATTCTGTGAATATCAATCAATGCTGGGTAGCTGTTTGGTTCCTCTACTGGTCTTTTTTTTTTTTTTTTTTTTAGACAGGGTCTCACTCTGCCACCCAGGCTGGAGTGCAGTGGCATGATCTCGGCTCACTGTAACCTCCGCCTCCCAGGCTCAAGCAATTGTCCTGTCTCAACCTTCTGAGTAGCTGGGATTACAGACACACACCACTACCACCTGGCTAATTTTTTTATTTTTAGTAGATATAGGGTTTCACCATGTTGGCCAGGCTGGTCTCGAACTCCTCACCTCAAATGATCCACCTGCCTCGGCCTCCCAAAGTGCTGGGATTACAGGCGTGAGCCACCATGCCTGGCCCCTCTGCTGGTCTTGATTGAAGTCATTCATGCAACTGTAATCATCTAATGGTTCATCTGGGACTGAGATTGTCTCAAGCACATGTCTGGCAGTTGGTGTCACTTGTTGATTGGGCCTCTCTCTTAACGTAAGGAAGTGAGCCAAAGCTTCTCACATTATGACAGCAGTGTTCCCATAGAGCCAAATGACAGCTGTAAGTTCTCTTGAGGTATCAACTTGGAAGACACACCATTACTTCTGCATTTTATTGGTTTAAGCAAGTCACAGGGCCAACTCAAATTAAAGGAATGGAGAAATAAACTTCACCTGTTGATAGGAGTGGCAGTGTCTCACTGTAAAAGGCATGTGTACAAGGATGGGATTTTACGTAGCCATCTTTGCAAACAGTCTACCACAGTGTCTTTTTTCCTTTCGAGTGCTTAAAAAAATTGTTTTTAAATAATTATTTGGTTTTCAGAAATTTCACTATTGTGTATCTAGACACAGATTTCCTTTTTATTTATCTGTTTGGGGGGTGTTTAGGGCTTCTTGGATCTGTGGTTTGATGTTTTTCCTCAGTTTTGGAGAATTTTCAGCCTTCGTCTGTTCTTCGAATATTTCTTCTGTTCCATTTCTCCCTTTCCGCTTTTCTGAAACTGAAATTACATGTAGGTTAGATCATTTCATTGTATCCTTTATACCTCTTACCTTCTCTTTGGTATTTTTTTATAAATCTTTTTGCTTCTCTCTGCTTCATTCTAGATACTTCCTTTTGACCTATTTACCAGCTCACTAATTCTCT